>NC_000023.11:88220117-88523148 GCF_000001405.40 Homo sapiens
GAGGGACACATAAATTCAAACCATAGCACCCATAACACCATAAAGTTGGGAATGCACAGCAGCATTCCTTCATTAAACAAAAATTACATATATGAGATTGAACTTCAACGGGCCCCAAAGGCACAATTAAGTTACTTGAATGAGTGGTCTAATTGTTAATTTTCTCCATTTCTGTCACACTACCTTCTCTCTCCCAGCCTGCACTTATGGCCTAATGAAAGGTTCCCTAAGATCAGTTGACAGAGGAAGAGAATACTTGAGCCTGATTTAAAAATGGTTTCACATGATATCCAGGCACCAAAGTGGATGGCTGTGGTACTATAGCCTCTTTCTGGGACACCCCTGAACAACCTTGGTAAAGAAAAATTCTCCCAGTAGACATAACTTCAAGAAGTGCACCTGATTGTTCATTTTACTTCAAGGAAAAAATGGCCAAACATGCAATTATATACTAATTCATGGGCTGTGGCTGAGTTTAGCTGGACAGTCAGGGACTTGCAAGAAACATGATTGAGAAATTGCTGACAAATAAATTTGGGAAAGATGCATATGAATAGATCTCTCTGAATGGGCAAAAAAACCAAACATATTTGAATCCCATGTGCATGTTCACCAAAAATGACATCAGCAGAAGATTTTATAAACCAAGTGGATAACAAGACTAATTCTGTAGATACCAGCCAAACTCTTCCCTCAGCCACCCCTGTCATTACCCAATGGGCTCATAAACAAAGTGACCATTGTGGCAGAGATGGGGATTATGCATTGTGTCAACCACAAGGACTTCCACTCACCAAGGCCAACCTGCTTAATGGCACCACTGGTTATCCAATCTGCCAGGATCAGAGACCAACATTAATTCCATAATATGACACCATTACCTATGGTGATCAGCCAAATGCCTGATATTAAGTTGAATACGTTGAACCACTTTCATCATTGAAGGGGCAACACATGTTTTGTTCTTACTGGAATAGAAATTTACCTTGAATAAAAATGTGTATTCTCTGCATACAACACTTCTGACAAAGCTACCATCTGTAGACTTACAAAATCCCTTATCCACTGTTATAGTATTACACACAGATCTGCTTCTGATAAAGGAACTCACTTCACAACAAATAAAGCATGACAATGGGCCCATGCTTTTGGCAGTCACTAGTGTTTGACCATGTTTCCCACTGTATTAGTATTAGTCCATTATCACACTGTGATAAAGAACTACCTGAGACTGGGTAATTTATGAAGAAAAGAGATTTAATTGACTCACAGTTCTGCAGGCTTAACAGGAATCATGACTTGGAGACCTCAAGAAACTTACAATCATGGCAGAAAGTGAAGGGGAAGCAAACACATCTTACTATGGTGGAGCAAGGGAGAGAGAGAGAGAGAGAGAGAGAGAAGGCAAGTGCCACACACTTTCAAACAACCAGATCTTGTGATAATAACTCATTCATTATCACAAGAACAGGAAGGGGAAAGTCTGCCCCCATGATTCAATCACCTCCCACCTGGCCCCTCCCCCAACATATGGGGGTTACAATCCAAGATGAAATTTGGGTGGGGACACAGAGCCAAACGATATCACCCATAATTCTGAATCAGCTGGCTTGACATAATAATTAAATGACCTTTTAAAGATGGTTACAATGCCAGATAGGTGGGCTGGGGCAAGGTTGTTTAGGAGGCTGTGTATGCTTTGAATTATTATCCAGTGTGTGGTGCTATTTCCCCTATAGACAGAATTCATAGGTGCAGGAATCAAGAGGTAGAAATGGGAATAGTAGCACTCACTAGTCTGTTCTTGCATTGCTCTAAATAAATACCTGAGTCTGGGTAACTTATAAAGAAAAGAGGTTTAACTGGCTCACAGTTCTGTAGACTGTACAGGAAGCATGATACTGGCAGCTGCTTAGCTTCTGAGAAGGCCTCAGAAAACTTACAATTATGGCAGAAGTGAAGCAGGAGCAGGAGGTGAAGGTGAGAACTGGAGCAAGAGAGAGAGGGGGCAGGTACTACACACTTTTTAAGGACCAGATATCACAAAAATTTACTCACTATTATGACGACAGAACCAAAGGGAATGGTGCTAAACCATTGATGAGAAATCTGCTCCCATGATCAAATCACCTCCCACCAGGCCTCACCTCCAATATGGGGATTACATTTCAATGAGATTTGAGCAAGGAACACATCCAAACAATATTATGACCCATTAGCAAAATGTTTGCTTCCTACTTCCTGGACTTTATGGTTTGCTGACCTAGAAGTCTTAGTACCAAAAGGAAACTTACATGATTGTAAGTTTCCTGAGACCTCTCCAGAAGCTGAGTAGATAGCAGCATCATGCTTCTTGTACAGTATACAAAACTGTGAACTAAATGTCTTTTTTCTTTATAAGTAACCCAGTATCAGGTATTTCTTCATAGCAATGCTTCCAAAAGGATACACAATAATAATTCTATTAAACTATAAATTAAGATTGCCACCTGGCCACATTAGCCTCCTCATGCCTTTGAATTAACAAGGAAAGAAGAGAATTACTGTGCTGGCTGGGGTGATTGATACTAATAAGAAGGGATTGCACTGTCTCTGCACAATGAAGTTAAGAAAGAATGTGTATAAAATACAAAATAACTTTTAGGGTGACTTTTAATATTAACATGCTCTGTGATTATAATCAATGGAGTACCACAATAACCCAATTCAAGTAGAACTAGTAATGGCCAAGACTCTTCAGTAATAAAAGTTTGGGTCATCCCACCGGGTAATGAACCAGGATTAGCTGAGGTGCTTGCTGAAGGAAAGGGGAATTCAGATTGGGTAGTGGAAGAAATTAGCTATAAATCCAGTTACAACCATGTGATAAGTTACAGAAGTAAGAATTCATATTGTCATGGTATTTCCTTATTTTGTTATGACTATTTTTGTATATATATATATATGCATATTTGCTTGTAGATATATATATATATTAATCAAATGCTTTTTGTTTTCTTTCCTCTCCTATTCCCTATTCCATAATATTCATTGACTTTATCTTATCCTATTTGAATACTATTAATTTTAGCTTTTACTTTTTGTTCTTTTATAATTTTAACTTATATTTTACATTCAAGGGTTTCATAAGCAGGTTTGCTGCATGGGTATATTGTGTGATGCTGAGGTCTGGGCTACAAAGGATTCCATTACCCAGGTAATGAGCATGGTACTCAATAGGTAGTTTTTCATCTCTTGGTTTCCCTCCCTCTCTCCTCCATCTAGTAGTCTCCAGTGTCTACTGCTCCCATCTTTATTTCCATGTGTACCCAGTGCTTAGCTCCCACTTATAAGTGAAAACATATGGTATTTATTTTTCTGTTTCTGTGTTAACATACATAGAATAATGGCCCCCAGCTGCTTCCATGTTGCTGCAAAGAACATTATTTTGTTCTTTTTTATGGCTGCATAATATTCCATATTGTATATTACCTTACCATATTTTTTAGTACAATTTACCACTGATGGACACCTGGGTTATTCCAAGTCTTTGCTATTGAGAACAGCACTGCAATAAAGATATGAGTGCATGTGCCTTTTTGGTACAATGGTTTATTTTCCTTTGAATATATACCCAGTAATGGGATTGCTGGGTTGAATACTAGCTCTGTTTTTAGTTATTTGAAAAACTGTCAAACTGCTTTCCATTGTGGCTGATCTAATTTACATTCCCACCAACAGTGTTAAGCACTCCCTTCTCTCCACAGCCATGCCAGCATTTGTTATTTTTTGACTTTTTAGTAATAATAATCCTAACTGGTGTGAGATGGTATCTAATTGTGGTCTTGATTTGCATTTCTCCGATGATTAGTGATATGAAGCTATTTTTCATACATTTGCTGGCCACTTATATGTCTTCTTTTGAGAAGTGTCTCCATGTCTTTTGCCCACTTTTTGATTGGGTATTTGTTTTTAGCTTGTTGAATTAAGTTTCTTATAAATTCTGGATATTAGAACTTTGTTAGATGCATACTTTGCAAATGTTTTTTCTCACTCTGTAAGTTATCTGTTTACTCTGTTGATAATTTCTTTTGCTGTGCTGAAACTCTTTAGCTCAATTAGCTCTTATTGTCAATTTTTGTTTTTGTTGCAATTGTTTTTGAGGACTTGGCAAAAAATTCTTTCCCAAGGGTGATGTCCAGATTAGTATTTCCCAGCTTTTCTTCTAGAACTTTTACAGTTTTAGGTCTTATATTTAAATCTTTAATCAATCTTGAGTTAATTTTTTTATATGTAAAATGTAGGGGTCCTGTTTTATTATTTTGAATATGGCTAGCCAGCTATCTCGGCATCATTTATTGGATAGAAAGTCCTTTCTCCATTGCTTATTTTTGTTGACTTTGTCAAAGATCAGATGGTTGTTGGTGTAGAGCTTTCTTTCTGGGTTCTTAATTCTATTCCATCGGTTCTATGTATCTGTTTTTGTACCATTACTTTGCTGTTTTGGTTACTGTAGCCTTATAGTATAGTTTGAAGTTGGGTAATGTGATGCATCTGACTTTGTTATTTTTGCTTAGTGTTGCCATGGCTCTTTGGCCTCTTTTTTGGTTTTATATAAATTTTAGAACAGTTTTTTCTAGTTCTGTGAAAAATGACATTGATAGTTTGATAGCAATGGTGTTGAAACTGTAGATTTTGAGGGTAGGCAGTATGGTCATGTTAACAGTGTTGACTCTTCCAATTCATGAGCATGGAATGTTTTCCATTTGTTTCTGTAATTTATTATTTCTTTCAGCAGTGTTCTGTAGTTTACCTTGTAGAGCTGTTTCACCTCTTTGGTTAGATGCATTCCTAGGTATTTTAATTTTTTCTGCCCATTGTAAATGGGATTATGTTAGTGATTTGCTCTTAGCCTAAATGGTATTGGTGTATAGAAATGCTACTGATTTTTGTAAATTGATTTTGTATTCTGAAACCTTACTGAGGTCATTTATCAGTTTTAGGAGACTTTTGGCAGTCTTTAGGGTTTTCTAGATATATAATCGTATTATCAGCAAAGAGAGATAATTTGACTCCGGCTTTTCCTATTTGGATGTCTATTGTTAATTTTAAATTATATTATTTAAATTACAGGTTATCAAAGAAAAGAGTAACCTTTACTCAGAGATTTATTGTCTTTTCTCAGGAAGGACTTAGTGCATTTTTGTTTGTATACAGGATAGTTTTGTCATGTTAGGTGAAATGATAACCTTGTTATTTTCTTTATTTGGATATTAAATGTGATTTATGGAGTTATCTATGGGTGTCAAGTTGACCAGGGATGAACTTGTGATGGTTAGTTTTATGTGTCAATTTGACTGTGCCATGGGTGCCCAGACATTTGGTCAAATATTATTATGTGTGTGTCCATGAAGAAATTTCTGAATGAGATTAAGACTTAAATCAGTAAGCATAGTAAAGCAAATTGCCTTCGCTAATACATGTAAACCTCATCTAATCAGTTGAATGTCTAAATAAAACAAAAAGATTGACAATCTGGGGGGTATTAGGGAGCTCCTTCTGCCTTATTATCTTTAGTTAGGACATCTGTTTTGTTTTGTTTGCTGCCTTTAACTCAAACTGAAACACTGGCTCTTCCTCAGTCAATCCAGTTGATATTCAGAGTGGAATTGTACCATTGGTTCTCCTGATTCTCAGGCCTTCAGACATGGAATGAAAGTACACCATTACTTCTCCTGCATCTTTAGACTGCAGATCTTGGGACTTGTTAGCATCAATAATCACATGAGCCAATTCCATTATTTGTGTGTGTGTGTGTGTGTGTGTGTGTGTGTGTATACATATAATCTTGTATTGTTATATTCCTCTGGAGAATTCTGACTAATACACCCTAATTGGGTTTACACCTCAATGGAGCTATGTAAAGGTTAAATGAACGATGTTTTTAGAGTACTCAGCATATGATGAGCACACTGTTATTATGATTACTATCTAGAGTGAATATCTTATAACTGCATAGAATTTTCCACTGCACGAGAATGTCTTCCCAGTAATACAACATATAGAAAAGTTAAATTACCCTTGAAACCATATTTTAAATACCTGTAGTCCAAGATCAGCATGATATAACTGTACTCACACTGTTAATTCTTTAAAAAATTTACCTTTCTTTTAAAAAAGATAAACCGTACACTTTTTTTACTATCTTTGCAAGTATTTGTATCCCACACAACATGCAGTCTGCTTTCCAGAAATGTAGACATCCTTTCTGACAATTTAAATGACTATTTCATGTGCTTACTTCAATGTTTATGTTTCATTATCTAAACATATTGTACACCACATAATTCAATTCTCATTTTATGGAGTTAAGAGGAAGGACCTCCAAATCACTCATTGAAAATTTAGATAAGGAGTTGCATTAGCTTAAAAAAAGTTACTAAATGCCCTTCCCTTCATATCTGAACACCATATACATAACATTGAATTTTCTTTTGTGAATAGCATATGCAATCTTCTTTAAATCTCATGGCTTCACCATAAGTATCATGTTTAATGATGTGTTAATTTATTCATAGAATTAGTTAAGCTTGCTAAAAGTTTAAAATATTTTCTATCATACTCATATAAACATGTCAATAGACTTAGAAAGTATTTCTGACAAAATTCAGCACCCTTCCGTGTAAAAAACTCTCATCAACCTAGGAACAGAAGCAAATTACCCAAACATAATGAAGTTCATATATGAAAAGTTCACAGCTAGCATCATACTCAACGTTGAAAAACTAGAAGCTTTTCCTTTGAGATCAGGTACATGGCAAGGATGCCCACTCTCTCCACTTCCATTCACCATCATACTGGAAGTTTCTGATGGAGCAATTAGGTAAGAACAAGAATTAAGAAGCACCCAAATTGAAAAAGAAAAGAGAAAAGTCAAAATGCATATATCATGATTATATATATGTGTATGTGTGTGTGTGTGTGTATATATATATATATATATATATCTAAGAATTCTGTAAAATAACTATTAGAACAAAAAAAATAGGGAGGAGGTGAAGCAAGGTGGTGGAATAGAAGGCTCCACTTACTGTCCCCACCAGCGAAGACTCCAATTCACCAATTATCTACACAAGAAAAGTACATTCATAAGAAACAAATATCAGGTGAGCACTCACAGTACCTGGTTTTAACTTCATATCACTGAAAGAGACACTGAAGAGGTAGGAAAAACAGTCTTGAATCACTGACGCCACCCTTTCCCCACTCCCCTGCATCTGTAGTTTGATGCGGAGAGCGTTTCTGTGCACTGGGCGAGGGAAAGAGTAATAATTGTGAGACATTGTACTCGATGATGCCGTTAGGGCAGAAAGAAAAAGTGGACTAAATTCAGTTGACATCTGCCCACGGAAGGAGCATTTGAAATAGCCCTAGCCAGAGGGGAATCTGATACTAGCAGTCAGAACTTGAGTTTCCACAAACCTCACCACCACAGGCTAAAATTCTCTCAAAGTTTCTAAATAAAATTGAAAGGAAGTCTTAGGCTACGAGACCTGCAACTTTTAGGTGATTCCTAGAGCTGCACTGGGCCCATAGCTAGTGGACTGTAGGGGCATGTGACCTACTGAGACACAAGCTGGGGTGGTTAAGGGAGTGCTGGCATCACCCCTCCCCTAACCCCAGGCTGCATAGGTTGTGGGTCCAAAAGAGACCTTTTCCTTTCACTTGAGGAGAAGAGAGGGAAGAGTGTGGAGGACTTTGTCTTGCATCTTGAATCTTGCATCCTGGATACTAGGGCATCAGTCAGAGTTGTGAGGACCTCTTTCCAGAAACTAGCTCCTGGATGACATTTCTAGATGTGTGCTGAGCCAGAAGGGAAACTTCTGCCTTGAGTGGAAGAAATCAGTCCTGGTACAATTCATCACCTGATAAATAAAGAGCCCTTAGGCTCTGAATAACTAGCAGTGATACCCAGGTATTATGTCAAGGGCCTTGGATGAAGCTCTGATTGCTGGTTTAAGGTGAGATTCAGCACATTCACAGCAGTGGTGGCTATGAGGTAAGACTCTTGCTTGAGCAAAGCAGAGGGAAAAGTGAAGGGGACTTTGTCTTGCACCTTAACTATCAGCTTGGCCACAGTGCGGGTAAAGCATGAAGTGGAATCTTGGGGTGCCTGAACCAGAACTTAGCTGCCCACTGTTGCAGCCTTACCAATGCACCACAATGTTTCAATTTTGTTGTTTGAAGTTGGACTCGGAGCTCTTTTTGTCACAACCAAGAAAATTAAGGGCATTGACCCAGGGGTGAGGTTGGAACGAAAGTTTAATAAGCAAAAGGAGAAACCTCTTCACAGCCAAGAGAGGCCCAGAAAGAAGGTTGCCATTCTTCAGTTGAATACAGGCTTTTTTAAACAGATTAGTAGGGAGGGATGTTTCATTTACATATGGTGTAAAAAACCAGTTAGGACTAGGTATTTCATTTGCATAAGGCACAAATTCCTGACAGCTCCACCCTGTCGTTTTAGTGTGCATGCATATTCTTAGCGTAAGTTACACCATGTTGTTTAATTTCCCTTACTGTGCATGTATTAGGGGGCAGAATTCTCCGTTGAGGATGTGCCTGGTTATGTGTAATTCCCCTTATCTGTGCAGCTGTAGACACATTTCAAGTAAGCGGCCCCACCCCCACAAGCTCCCTTATCTGAGTATGTGCAAAAAAGAAAAAGGATGTGTTCACTGAAGCCTACCATACATATGTGACCCTTATTAGTTACACATAAGGCATTTTTATGGTGGTCTTTGCCCCCTTATCTTTCCTTGCAGCTTGATCTTTCAAGCTGTTCCTTTGTTAGAAAAAGGAATTCCTCTGAGGACTTTTCCTAGCTATCTGCCTAATTCTTTTCTCTCTCTTCTCTCACCACTACCCTGAAGGGTGAGTTCCAGGCCAGGCAGCATTCACCGAATGTTGACTAAAGATCTTTGGTCCTTAAGGGAATGTTACCAGTATCTGGCAGTATTCCTCATGGCCTATGGTGGTGGTGGTCATGGCATAAAGATCCTTTGCCTTTGGAAAGGTGAGGGAAAAATAGAAAGGCCTATGTCTTGTGGTTTGAGTGCCATCTCAGCCTCAGTACATTAAAACGCCAGGTAGATGTCTAAGGTTGTTGACTGTAGATGTTGGCTCTTAGATGGTACCTCTGGACTTGTTTGGGGACTAGGAAAACTCACTGCCCTGAAGGGAAAGACACAGACATGGCTGTGTTTGTCACCTGTTGATTATAGATCCCCAGGGCCTTGAGTGAACATAGGTGGTAACCAGGGAGTGATTACAGCAAGTCTTGGGCAAAACCCAGTGCTGAGCTGGCTACAGGTCTAACCCACACTGTCTTTGTGGTGGTGGCCACAGGGCAGCCTGTGTCTTTCCACCCCAAGTGTCAGGTGGCTCAGAATAGAGACAGAGAATCTGTTTAGGAAAAGGTAAGGAAAGAAAATAAGATTCTCTGCCTGGTAATTCAGAATATTCTTCCAGATCTTGTCCAGATATTATATAGTGATATTGCTATATTGATATATTACTATATAATGATAAAGGGATCACTTCAACATGACAATATAACAATTTTAACTATATATGCACCTGATGCTACAGCAACAAGATATAAAGCAAATGTTATTAGAGCTAAAGAGAGAAGCAGGCCCCAGTACAATAATAGCTGGAGGCTTCAACATCCCACTTTCAGCATTGGACAGATCTTCCAGACAGAAAATCCATAAAGAAACATTGGACTTAATCTGCACCATAGACCAAATGGACTTAATAGATATTTACAGAATATTTCATCCAAGAGTTGAAGAATACACATTCTTTTCCTCAGCACACGGATCATTCTGAAGGATAGACCGTATGTTAGGTCACAAAACAAGTGTTAAAACAGTCAAAAAAGTGAAAATAATATTAACCATTTTCTCAGACCACAAGGAAATAAAAGTAGAAATCAATAACAAGAGGAATATTGGAAGCTACACAAATACATGAAAATTAAACAATTTGCTCCTGAATGACCACTGTGTCAATGAAGATATTAAGAAGAAAATTGAAAAAGTTCTTGAAACAAATGATAATGGAAACACAGCATGACAGAAACCTACGAGACAGAACAAAAACAGTACTAAGAGGGAAGTTCACAGCTGTTAAGTGCCTACATCAGAAAAGAAGAAAAGCTTCAAATAAACAATCTAATAATGTGTCTTAAATTAATAGGAAATCGAGAATTTACCAATTCCAAATTAGTAGAAGAAAAGAAATAATAAATATCACAGTAGAAATAAATGAATTTAAAATGAAGAAAACAATACAAAAAAATTAATAAAACAAAATGTTGGTTTTTTAAAAAAGTTAAACAATATCGACAAACCTCTATCCAGACTAAGAAAAAAAAGAGAATATCCAAATAAATAAAAGCATAGATGAAAAAGGAGGCATTACAACTGATACTGCAGAAATTCAAAGGATCACTAGTGGCTGCTATGAGCAGCTATATGCCAATAAATTTTAAAATCTAGAAAAAATGAACAAATTCCTAGACACGTAAAATCTAAGATTGAACAAGAAAGAAATTCCACTATGAGGTCATTATTACCCTGAGACCAAAACCAGCCAAATACACATAAAAAAACACACACAAAACAACAAGCCAATATCTCTGATGAATATTGATGCAAAAATTCTCAATAAAATACAAGCAATCCAAATTCAGCAATACATTAAAAAGACTCTTAAAAAGACTATTCATCATGACCAACTGAGATTAATTTCTGGTATGCAAGGATGGTTAAACATGAGCAAATCAATAAATGTTATAAATCACATCAACAGAATGAAGCACAAAAACCATATGATTATTTCAATTGATGCTAAAAAAGCATATGATAAAATTTAACATTTGTTTATAATAAAAATTTCTAAAAAAAAAAAACTGGGCATAGAAGGAACATACATCAACATAATAAAAAACATATATGACAGACCAACAGCTGGTATCATACTGAATGGGGAAAATCTAAAAGCTCTTTCTCTAAGATCTGAAACATGTCAAGGATGACCACTTTCACCACTGTTATTCAAAATAGTACTGGCAATCATACCTAGAGCAATCAGACAAGAGAAAGATATAAGAAGCATCCTAATTGAAACAGAATAAGTTTTATTATCCTTGTTTATAGATGATATAATCTTATTTTAGGAAAAATCTAAAGATTCCACAAGAAAACCATTTGAATTGATGAACAAATTCAGTACAGTTGCAGGATACAAAATCAGCATACAAAAATCAGTAGCATTTTTATATGCCAACAGTGAACAATCAGAAAAACAAATAAAAAATGTAATCCCATTTACAGTAGCCACATATAAAATTAAAAACCTAGGAACTAGCCAAAGAAGTGAAAGGTCTCTATAATGAAAACTATAAATTACTGATGAAAGAAATTAAATGTGACACCAAAAAACGGAAAGTTATTCTAATCATGGATTGGAATAATCAATATTGTTAAAATTTCCATACTACTCAAAGCAATCTGCCGATTCAATGCAATCCCTATCAAAATACCAATGACATTCTTCACAGAAATATTAAAAAAATCTAAAATTTTATTTGGAACCACAAATGGCCCTGAATAGTCAAAGATCTCACCAATAAAAAGAGAAAACCTCAAGTAATCACATTACCTGACTGCAAGTTATTCTTCAGAGCTATAGTAACCAAAACAGCAAAGTACTGGCATAAGAACAGACACATAGACCACTGGAACAGAATAGAGAATGCAGAAAATAATTCACACACCTACAGTGAACCTATTTTTGCCAAAGGTGCCAAGAACACACACTGGGGAAAAGACAAAAAGAATAAAAAATGTAGGCATAAACTTGACTAAGGAGGTGAAAAACTTACATACCAAAAAGTATAAAACGTTGAAGAAATAAATTGAACAAAAAACTAATTGAAAGACATCCCATGCTTGTAGTTTGGAAGACATAATATTATAAAAATGCCCATGCTACCCAAAGCAATCTACAGATTCATTGCAATCCCTAACAAAATCCAAATTGTAGTTTTTGCAGAAATAGAAATAAGTACTAAAATTTATTTGTAACAAACAAAGACCACTAATAACCTAATCAATTGTGAGAAAGAAGAATAAAGCTAGTGACATCATACTTCCTGATTCCAAAATACATTACAAAGTTACAATAATCAAAACAGTATGATAATGGCATAAAGACAACAGAATAGACAGCCTAGAAATAAATCCACACATATACAGTCAATGATCTTTGACAAGGTTACCAACAATACATAATGGGGCAAGAATATTCTCTTTACCAAGAGTTATTGGGAAAGCTGATTTCCAAGTACAAAAGGATAAAATTGACCCTTATCTTTTACCATACACAAAAATCAACTCAAGTCAATTAAAGACTTAAACATAAGACCTTAAACTCAAAAACACCCTGAAAAAAATAGGGAAAAAGAGTTGTGACTTTAGTTTTGGCAATTATGTGTTGGATATGACACTAAAAGCATAGGCAACAAAATTAAACTAGAAACTTTCTACATAGCAAGTGAAACAGTCAACAGAATGAAAATTCAACCTATGGAATGAAAGAAAATATTTGCAAATCATATATCTTCATAAGGTGCTAATTTTCAAAATATCTAAGCAACTTCTACAGCTCAATAGAAAAAATAAAACTAATAACCAATTAAAAACTGGGCTAAAAACTCAAAGTGACATTTCCCAAAAGAAGACATCCAAATGGCCAACAGATATATGAAAAAAAAAAAAAAAAAACATGCTTAACGTAACTAATCATTAGAAAAATGCAAGTTAAAACCGCAATGAAATATTATATATCACACCTGTCAGATTGGCTATTATCAAACAAAACAAAACAAAGTATTGGTGAAGATGTGGAGAAATTGGAACCCTCACACGCTATTGGTGAGAATGCAAAATTGTGATGCCAATATGGAAAACAATATAGAGGCTTCTCAAAAAATTAAAAATTAAACTACCATATGATTCAGCAGTCTCACTTCTGGATATTTATTCAAAAGAATAGAAATCAGAATACTAAAAGATGTTAGCACTCCTAGGTTCTTTGTAGCACTATTCACAACAGCGAAAACTTAAAAATAACCTAAATGTCTATCAACAGACAAATGAATAAAGAAAGTGTTGGGTTGGGCATGGTGGTTCACACCTGTAATCCCAGCACTTTGGAAGGCTGAAGTGGGAGGATTCCTTGATCTGAGGAGGTTAAGAGCAGCCTGGGCAACATAGTGAGGCCTGTCTCAACAAAATAATTATAAAAAATTAGCTTGTAGTGGTGGCATGCAAGTGTGGTCTCAGCTACTCAGGAGGCTGGGTGGGGGGAAGATTGCTTGAATCTAGTGATCAAGGCTGCAGTGAGCCATATTATTTAGCCTTAAACATGAAGAAAAATTTGCAAGATGCAATACAAATGAACCTTGAGAATATTATGCTATGTGAAATATGATAGTCACAAAAAGACAAGTATTGTACAAATCCACCTATATGGGTCATCTAAAATAGTGAAATACATAGAATCAAAGTGTACGATGATAATTACCAGGGGCCATGAGAAGAGATAAATGGAGAGCTAATAATCAATGGGCATAGTTTCAGTTAAACAAGGTAAATAAGCTCTAGTGATCTGCTGTACAACATTATACCTAAACAATAATGTATTGTAGGGTAAATCTGTTCTTTTAAAAAATATCTTTCAGATCTATACCTGCAGATGTGTTCATACCACAATGAAATAAAATAAAATACCACAGTAGTTTCATAATTTAATGAAGGAAAAAATATTGAATTACAGGGAACTCTTATTTATTTTTTCTTTTCTTTTTTTTTTTTTTGAGATGGAGTTTCACTTTTGTTGCCCAGGCTGGAATGCAATGGCATGATCTTGGATCACTGCCACCTCCACCTCCTGGGTTCAAGCAATTCTGCTGTCTCAGCCTCCCAAGTATCTGGGATTACAGGCATGCGCCACCGCACTGGGCTAATTTTGTATTTTTAGTAGAGACGGGTTTCACCATGTTGGTCAAGCTGGTCTCGAACCCCTGACCTCAGGTGATCCACCTGCCTTGGCCTCCAAAATTGCTGGGATTACAGGAGTGAGCCACCGTGCCTGGCTCAAATTACAGGGAATTCAATATATTCTGATGAGCTATTATTTTCTCTGTGTTTAAAAATCAGTATTGGACTTTTCTTTTTTTTACTCCTATGTGTCTGGTCTTATGAATTTGAAAATAAAATTTTAGAAGCAAATTTTAATTTGTCACATATGATGCTACCAAATTATTTTTGTGTGCTTCACTCCATCTTTTTGTAAACAGAAAACTCCACTATCACAAATAAAGAATATCATTTAAAACAAAAATTTGCTCAATACATATTGGCCTCTTAATTGCCATGAAATAATATTCATCTGCATATCTAATCACTAAATTATTGATTTCTTAGAATGTAAGCCATTTTTAAACTAAAAATTTTATAAATTTTTTAAAAATCGTAATCCCAGCAGTAAAAAAAAAAATAGTTTTGTTTTGTTTTGTTTTGTTTTGTTTTGTTTTGTTTTTTCTTTTTTGAGAGGGAGGCTTTTGCTCTGTTGCCCAGGCTGGAGTGCAGAGCCATGATCTCGGCTCACTGCAATCTCCACCTTCTGGGTTCAAGCAATTCTCCTGCCTCAGCCTCCAGAGTAGCTGGGATTACAGGCGCCCGCCACCATGCCCAGATAATTTTGTATTTTAGTTGAGACTGGGCTTCATTACGTGAGGTCAAGCTGGTCTTGAACTCCTGACCTCAAATGATCCACCTGCCTTGGCCTCCCAAAGTGCTGAGATTACAGGCGTTAGCTACCATGCCCAGCCAAAAATACAATATTTTTTAAAGTACTTGAAGAAAGAGGTGATTTGGCACCTTAGGCAATGCAGATTGATGAAGTATTATATTTAAGTCATTTATCTCTCTTCTGCACTTTTTATAGAAATTTGACACATATGAGAAAACTGGAAATTGGATAATTCTCAAGAGTATTTTTTTAACTTTTATTTTAAATTCAGGGGTATATGTGCAGGTTTGCTACATAGGTAAACTTGTGTACAAGACGGTTTCTTGTACAGATTATTTAATCACCCAGGTATTAAGCCTAGTACCCATTAGTCATTATTCTTGATTCTCACCCTCCTCTCACTATCCACCATTCAGTAGACCCCAGTGTGTGTTGTTCCCCTCTATGTGTCCATGTGTCCTCATCATTTAGCTCTCACATATGTGAGTTCACGCAGTATTTGGTTTTCTGTTCCTCGGTTAGTTTGCTAAGAGTAATAGCCTCCAGCTCCATCCATGTCCCTGAAAAGGACATTATCTTGTTTTTCTCTGTGGCTGCACAATATTCCATGGTGTATATGTACCACATTGTCTTTATCCAGTTTATCATTAATGTGTATTTAGGTTTATTCCATGTCTTTGCTATGATGGATAGCACTGCAATGAACATATGCATTCATGTGTCTTTATAATAGAACAATTTGTATTCCTTTGGGTATGTACCCAGTAATGAGATTGCTGGGTCAAATGGTATTTCTGTCTTTAGGTCTTTGAGGAATCACGACATTGTCTTCCACAAAGACACTCCCACCAACAGTGTATAAGCATTCCTTTTTCTTCACAATCTTGCCAGCATCTTCCTTACAGATGCTGGATATTAAACCTTTGTCACGTGCATAGTTTGCAAAAATTTTCTCCCATGTTGTAGGTGTCTGTTGCCTGGTTTCTTTTGCTGTGCAGAAACTCTTTAGTTTAATTAGATCCCATTTGTCAATTTTTGCTTTTGTTGCAATTGCTTTTGACATCTTCATCATGAAATCTTTGCCCATGTCTATGTTCTGAATGGTATTGCCTAGTTTTTTTCTAGTGTTTTTTATATTTTTAGGTTTTACATTTAAGTCTTTAATTCATCTTGCATTGATTTTGTATATGGTGTAAGGAAGAGGTTCAGTATCAATTTTCTACATATAACTAGTCAGTTCTTCCAGTACCATTTATTACATAGGGAATCCTTTCCTCATTGCTTGTTTTTGTCAGGTTTTCCAAAGATCAGATAGTTGCAGTGTGCAGTCTTATTTCCAGGTTCTCTATCCTGTTTCATTGGTCTATGTCTGTTTTGTACCAGTATCATACTGTTTTGGTTACTGTAGCCTTGTAGTATAGTTTGAAGTCAGGTAGTGTGATTTCTCTAGGTTTGTTCTTTTTGCTTAGAATTGCTTGGATATTCAGGCTCTGTTTTGTTTCCATATGAATTTTAAAATAGTTTTTTTCTAGTTCTGTGAAGAATCTCATCGGAAGTTGAATATGGATAGCACTGAATCTATAAATTGCTTTTGGCAGTATGGCTATTTTATTGATATTGATTTTTCTTATCCATGAACATGAAATATTGTTCTATTCGTTTGTGTCATCTCCTATTTCTTTGAGCAGTAGTTTGTAGTTCTCATTGTAGAGATTATTCACCTCCCTAATTAGCTGTATTCCTAGGTATTTTATTTTTTCTGTGGCAATTGTGAATGGGAGTTTATTCCTGATTTGGCTCAGCTTGACTGTTGTTGTTGTATAGGAATGCTAGTGACTTTTGCACATTAATTTTGTATCCTGAGATTTTACTGAAGTTGTTTGTCAAATTAAGAAGCTTTGAGGCCCTTACTATGGGGTTTTCTAGATACAGGATTATGCCATCTGCAAACAGGGATAGTTTTACTTCCTCTATTCCTATTTGGATGCCCTTTATTTCTTTCCCCTGCCCGATTGCTCTAGCCAGGACCAACAATTTCTGTATGGCTAAAGTATTTTATGGGAGCAAGTCGAACCTAGATGGATGGCTTTCCCTGGCTACACTCTACTACAGACACTCCTGCACCAAATCCTCTGGGCTCCACATCAGCTGGCTTGCTGCTCCACCGCTTTGCTTGTCTCCCAGAGTCTCCACCCCAGAAAGATGTAGGTCAGCAATCACTCAGTGCAATCAGCCCAAAATCGAGGGTCTGTGCTGTGGGCCCAATCATGGGGTTCCTTGTCTGGTGATGAGCAGTCAGGGATGTGTAAGACCCATGGGAGACAGGATGATCTTCCATCCTTGGGTTGACTGTAGATTGTTGGGAGATGTAGATAAGGCACTTAGGGTCTTTGCTGCTTTGTTAGTCTGAGGGAAACAAGGAGGGTTCCAATTCAGAGGCAGTGGCAGAGAGGTTTTCAGTTACCCTTGGAGGCTCTGTCCAGGGAGTTGTTGAGTTGCTAATGGCTGCATAGCTCTGGTGGGAGGTGACTTGAGGCCCAGATCTGGAGAACCTGTTCATTGAAAAGATATGGGAGCAAGCGCCCACATAACAGTCTGGCCACTTTTCTGTAGGTCTGCTGTGGTATGCTGGATGGAGACCCACTTCAGTCCCTAGTTGCCTCATATTTTTCAGTGATCAGAAGTAAAGGCTGTAAAACAGCAAAGATGGCAACCTGTCCCTTTCCCTGGGAGCTCTGACCCAGAGAAGTACAGGCCTGTTGCCAGCCTGAAAACACCTGTAGGAGGCGGCTGAAGACCCAGGTTGGGAGGCTTCACCAAGTTAAGAGAAATGGGATTGGGGAACCATTAAAAAAAAGTAGTCTGGTCACATTTTCATAGAGCAGCTGTGCTGTTCTGGGGGTCTGCTTCAGCCCACAGTTACCTTGGACACTCCAAAGCCCAAAGTCTAGAACAGCTGATTTGTCCAAGCAGGAAAGATTCTAGCCCACTCTTCTACCTGGGAGCTCCATCCCAGGGAAGCCTGAAACCTCTGTTATCTAGAGAACACCAGTTGGGGAGCCGGAGACCCCTGTCTGGAGTCTTCCCTGGTGATGAGGATTGTGATCGGAGACCTGCTTAAAAAAGCAGTCTGGCAACATTTTCATAGGGCGGCTATACTGTGCTAGGGCACTGTTTCCACCAACAGTCGGCTTGGGGTCTCCAAAGCCTGAAGGCTGGAATGGCTAAGATGGTGTTCCACCCCTCCCTTTAGGGAGCTCTGTCTCAGAGAGTTTTCAAATCTCTGTTGGCCAGTGATATGGTTAGACTTTGTGTCCCCACCGAAATCTCATATTGATATGTAATCCCCATAATCCTCATAATCCTCACATGCCAAGGGAGAGACCAAGTGGAGGCAGTTGAATCATGGGGCAGTTCCCCCATGCTGTTCTCATGATTGTGAGTTCCCACGAGATTTGATGGTTTTATAAGGGGCTCTTACCTGCTTCACTCGGCACTTCTTCCTGCTGCCTTGCGAAGAAGGTGCCTTGCTTCCCCTTCTCCTTCTGCCATGATTGTAAGTTTCCTGAGGCCTTCCCAGCAATGCTGAACTGTGAGTCAATTAAACCTTTTTCCTTTATAAATTACCCAGTCTTGGCCAGTTCTTCATAGAAGTATGAAATCATACTAATACAGACAGAGAACACTGGCGGAGGTAGCTGAAGGCCCTGGTTGGGAGGTCCTGCCCAGTGAGGAGGAATGGGATCAGGCACCAACTTATAGAATCAGTCTGGCCATGTTTTGGTAGAGCAGCTGTGCTGTGTTGGGGGATTCCTTTTGCCCCAGGTCAGCTTGGACTCATCAAAGCCCAAAGGCCATAACAGCTAAGTTGACCAAACAACAGAGATGGTGGCCTGTCATTCCTGCTGGGAGCTCCACCCCAGGAGGTGATCTGCTGCTACCAGTTGCTGGCTAGAATTCCAAACCAGTGGGTCTTATTCTGCGAGGTGCCGTGGAAATGTGGCCTGCAGACCATCACTGCATGCCCCCCTGGATTCAGCCTTTTTATCTAGGGGTATGTATGGGGGTCTAACCCCTCACTTTCCTGGAGTTGCAGCTACTTTTGCCAGGAGCCTGGAAAGCCAGAGTATGTAAAGTTCCTGAGTCACTGTGTGTGTTTGAGCAGCTGCTCTGCCAAGACTCCACGTAGCTCTGTGTGTCAGACTGAAGGCCCTGGTGGAGTGGGTTCACAAAGGGATATCCTCACCTGAGGGTTGTAAAGATCCATGGAAGAGGTATAGGATCTCGTGGTAGCACATTCACTCACTGTTTCTCTGGTGAGGAAGCTTCTTCTAGGTCTGTGTCGCTCCCAGATTTGCCATTGTCCTGCCTTGCTTTTCTCCATTTTCTATGTGTCAAGTTGTTTCCTTTATTAGTTTCAATGTGAGTACCTGGATGTTTCAGCTGAAGGCGCTGTATTTACTCGCCCCTTCCATTTCTCTCCTTGAGAGCAATGCGCATTGGCTGCTTCTAGTCATCATGGCCACTCCCCCACCAAGTATTTTATTGTTGATAAATTTAGATTTTTTTTTTCAAAATAATCAGAGTAAAAATATTAAACCTCCTTCTTCTTTCTGAGAACACTTTATTCAGTAATATGATCCCATCATAACATCCATCCCAGGCTTGTCTTAAGCAAGATAATATTGAGATAAGTTCATTTAAGAAGCAATATTTTAATAATACAATTTTGAAATACTTCAGTATTCTTATTCAGAATAGTAATGATAAACACAGTGTAATTATACCTGGTAAGGATGAAAATTGATTGCAAAAGCAAGGTGAATAGAGGAACAACAAGACTCATTTTGATTGGCAAAATATGTTGGTGTTTGCCACATTTTCTCATTTTTATTGTAGCATCACGTGATTAAAACTATTTTTATATAAATGAAGTCTTTAACTTTGGCATAGGAAATGTCTTTCTAACTATAACTCAAAATCTGGAAACATTAATAAAATATAGATGAATTAACTAAAAGGAAAGAAAATGCATGAGAGACATGCCATAAACAGAGTTTCCAGACAACAGATAAACAGAGAGAATATTAGTAACATATAATACAAAAGGCTTTTATCGCTAATGAAGAACTCTTAAAATTTCAGGTATGAAGAACTAAAATTCTGACAGAAAATTGAGAAAAAACATAGGCAGATAATTCACTCAAACATATAAAATATAGCTCTAAAACATGAAATAAAAATGTTCAAAGCCAATAGTAATTAGCAAAATACAATTAAAACAACTCTGAAAAAACATTTCTCACTTATCAGACTGGCAAAAGTTTAGAAGTATGAAAGCACATTCCATTGGCAAATTTGTAGGGAAATAGGCACTCTCTTGCATTCCTTGTGATAATGTAAATTGGTACATTTCTTCTTGGAAGAAAATCTAGCAAAACTATTGTATTGGTTTTCTATTGGCTGTTGTAATAAATTACCTTCAATTTGTTTTAGAACAACAAAATATTACTTCCTGGAAATCAGACATCCAAATCAGTTTTATTGGACTAAAATCAAATTTTTAACAGGGCTTGTTTCTTTTGCAGCCTTCAAAAGAAACTCTGTTTCCTTGCCATTTTCCTTGCTGAAAGTGACATGTGCATTCCTTTGCTTGTAGTTCCTTCCTCATACCGCTTTAACCTTCTGTTTCCATCATCTCATCTATTTCTGCTCACTCTGATCTTCTACCTCTCTCTGATAAGAACTTTGTAATTACATCAGGCCAACCTAGATAATTCAACATAATCTCATGGTCCTTAATGTAATCACATTTGCAAGGCTCCTTTTACATAGAAGGTAAGAATTAAATGTTCTGAGATTAGGACATGAGTGTCTTTTAAGGGACTATTATTCAGCCAACCACAACCATACAGAGTATGAACTTAAACCTTTGAAACTGCAATCTCATTTCTAGAAATTTACTCTGAAGATAAACCTCCAACAATACAAAAAATATACATACACAAGGTTATTTATTGCCTCATTGTCTATGTTTCCAAAATAATGGAAACAACTTAAGTGTCCATATGTAGAAGAATGGTTGAACAATGATACATTCTGAAATGCAGCCTTATGTAGCTAAAAAACTGAAGAAGCACGAACTCAATGAACTGACTTATAGTGCTTTCCAGAACATACTGTTATATGTAAATTTTTAACAAGCAAGATAAAAAGAGTATTTATAATATGAAGTATAATATGCAAAAGAGTATTTAAAATATGCAATATGGAATCAACCTAGATGCCCATCAGTGATAGACTGGATAAAGAAAATGTGGCACATATATACCATGGAATACTATGCAGTCATAAAAAAGAACCAGCTCATGTACTTCACAGGGACATGGATGGAGCTGGGGCACATTATCCTTAGCAAACTAACACAGGAATAGAAAACCAAATACTGCATGTTCTCACTTCTCCATGGGAGCTAAATGATGAGAACACATGGACACATAGAGGAGAACAGGACACACAGGGGCCTTTTGGAGGGTGCAGGGTTGGACGAGGGAGAGGATCAGGAAAAATAACTAAAGGGTACTAGGCTTAATACCTGGGTGATGAAATAATCTGTACAACAAACCCCCATGACACAAGCTTACCTATGTAACAAACTTGCACTTGTACCCCTGAACTTAAAATAAGTTTTAAAAATATGCAATTTATAAATTGTATATTATAAATTCATGAATCTTCTCATTTAAGCAACACAAATCTGGAAAGGATAAATGAGAAACTAACAAGATTGATCATCTACACAAGGGTAGGTAAGAAGGGGGTAGAAATAAATGAATAATTGGAACCCAGTAGTAGAGATGAGAAAGGAGAGGGAATTTTCTCATTACATATTTTTATATGTCTTTTTACTCCTCAAATTATATTAACATGTCACATGCTCTAATGCAACAATTTAAAAATTAACCAGAATGTGGGAGAAATTAAAATGGAATGCAAACAACAACAAATGAATCTGATTGCATTTAAAAATAAGTAACATGAGTACACTGAAGAGAATGGAGAAAAAAATTAACCTGATTAAATTTGGAAAGCAATGTTTTTAAGTGATTACTGCAATGTTTTGAATTGAAAAAAAAACAAAAAAACATACTGGGCACTGTGGCTCACGCCTGTAATCCCAGCACTTGGGGAGGCTGAGACAGGAGAATTGCTTGAGCTCAGGAACATGAAACCAGCCAGACAACATAGTGAGACCTCATCTCTACTCAAATGAAATAAAATAAAATAAAAAGCCAGGCATGGAGGTGGGTGCCTGTAGTCCCAGCTACTTGGACAGGTGGGAGAATTCCTTTAGCCCAGGAGGTCAAGGCCGCAGTGAGCCATGATCACACCACTGTACTCCAGCCTGAGCGACAGAGCAAGACCCTGTGTCAAAAAGAAAACAAAACTCAATGAAAACTATACATAAAATTATACAATATTGTTAGTAGATTTGTTTCTCATAGAGGTATGAGTTACCAATTTTACAAGTACTTTAGATTTATACTAAGATTGGACTAATAAGTAAATCCATTATCGATAATAAGAGCTGAGTTTCTATCTGATGAAAGAAGTTACAAATGAGAAAGAGGGAAAGTTAATATAAACCCAGTGTTGGATGTGTATTGGGTCAGAATCAGAGGTGTAAGTATAAACTAATTGCCTTTTTAACATGTATGTGGTTTGATAGATGCTGAAACAAAATGGAGATACATGTACATGTGGGTGGTTTAGCTCCATCACCTGAGAGAATGTAGAATTGATGTCAACCAAGCGGCAATGAGCCAATCTAGTGCTAAGATTGCTGGTTCTGAATAGCATCATTCAATGCAAGGAACCAAGGCTCCTTAGAGAAGTGACTGAGTCTAGGACTGGGACAGAACAAATAAAAAATGGACTTGGAATATCTGGGTGGACAAGAAATTAAATAATAGGGCTTGCTGAAAGGACACTGAGACAAAATGAAAGAAAGCCTAGTGGCCAAAGAAATCAGGGCAAGTCTGTAAAATGAAAGCAAGTTTATTAGGAAAGTAAAGGAATAAAAGAATGGGTACTCCATAGACAGAGCATCCCCGAGGGCTGCTGGTTGCCCATTTTTATGGTTATTTCTTGATTATATGCTAAACGAGGGGTGGATTATTCATTCCTCCCCCCTTTTAGACCATGTAGGGTAACTTCCTGTCATTTCTCTGGCATTTGTAAACTGTCATGGTGCTGGTGGAAGTGTAGCAGTGAGGATGACCAGAGGTCACTCTCGTGATCATCTTGGTTTTAGTGGGATTTGCCTAGCTTCTTTACTGCAATCTGTTTTATCAGCAAGGTCTTTATGACCTGTATCTTGTGCCAACCTCCTATCTCATCCTGTGACTTAGAATTCCTTAACCATCTGGGAATGAAGTCCAGTAAGTCTCAGCCTTATTTTACCCACCTCCTATTCAAGATGGTGTTGTTCTGGTTCACATGCCTCTGACAACTACACTTTTACTGATGGGTGACCATGGCATAATAATTTAAGCACTCAAAAAAAATTAGAGCTGTCAGAAGTTTGCATAAAATGGTATCTATGAAACAACAGTTGTTAGGTAATTCTAAAAAGGACAACATATATGAACATTTAAAGCAAAGAAGATAACTTTATTATGCATTTCCCTGGGTATTGGTTGAATCTTAGAAATTACAATTTATGAGTTTATAATACCACTGTGCTATTATATTAGTCACAGTAGATAGGCTAAGAAAAGATGCTTTTACAAGATGTCAGATGACATTTGGCAGTGATTTTGCAGAACCTGTTGGATTTACTGGTGTCTGGAAAGCCTGCTTGCCTTTTAGTTGTTATTTAAAGAGTGGCCTTATATTAATGTCCCATCAAAGAATATTCTCTTCAAACTCCTTTAAAAACACCCAATTTCAGAGATTACTCAGTGAAATTCTTAAAACAAACTTTCATTTTAAAAAATCCTCTTTCTGTACAGTCATTGTTCTTCTGGTAGCTCTGATCTCCAGATCTCTAGTGCCAAAATATCCTCCATTTAAAACATGTTATCTGACTTATACTGTCAGATAAATTATTAAAACCCTTGGTACTGACTTTTAACCTCGGAGCCATCCATACTTCTTTAGTCATTAAATGATTACCTCCAATCTTAACACCAAGCTGTGGCTGAATTCTCAAGTTAGACAAAAGACTGCTTGAGTTAGCCTTGATGGGCTCCCATGCTGGGAGAATCTGGCTCACTTAGTGTTCTTCCATTAAATTCACAATTGAAGTGGAAATTGACAATAAGAAAAACAATAGTGACTGAGCAGCTACCACCTGCCCTACTCCAGAGAGTCAATTAGGCATTTTGGAAGAGGAATGACTTCTTTCAGGCCACTGAAGCAATAACTTACTAGTGGTACTCCAGTGACAAGGAAGAGTTCACACAGCTTCCAAAAATGCCCAGAATTTTCCCTGGGAGTAGTTTACACACAATAAAAATCTAGCTCAATCAATGTAGGACAAATACTCCATTTATAAAATGTTAAGATACTTTGATTTTCTGGTAGATAATAAAATGGGCATATCTATTCCATATGGGTGAGTAATGGCTTCAAAGGCAACCACAATAGAAATATAATTATAATACTAATGTAGGCAGTGAGCCATAAACATGTTATAAACTGCATGCCTATATGAATTATAAACAGTATCATTAGGCTCAAGAAAGAAAGAAGCATCCTTTTCCAGAACTTACGAAAGAAGTTTTGAATATCTTTGCCATTACATTAAAACATTTAGTAAAAAAAGAAAATTAGGACACATTTTTTAAAATTAAATATTGTCCTAGGTATCACAAAGAATGATGCCTAATTTTATGCGATGATCTTCCTCTTAAGAAGCTTTTCTTTAATGCAGAATACAAAGAATACATAGTAAAATATTCAAAATGAAGATATGCACTGAACATAACATTGTACTTTCTATTCTTAATGGTCTAAAGTACACCATAGCTAAATATTCATATGAGTATTCTCCATGGATATTTTAACGGATTTAATAAGTTCTACTGAATTATCCCCTGGATAGATAAGGATTTAAACCATTGATCACTAGAAGGTTTACTTTCTCCTTGCTATAAACAGACAAGTCTCATTAATTTTAAACAGAACTAATCACAATAAAGAGAGAGGGATGTATCACTAAAAGTTCAATCCCAACATGTGTTGGTAGTCAAAACATTCCTAGTTTATTTGTAATCTCAACCGAATGTTTTCCTCTGGCCAAGCATATTCTTTTCATATATATATATGAATACATCGTTTCTTGTATTCTCACTTTTACCTTTTTGCTTCATTTGGTTAATTTTGATGATAAAATTGCTGGAAATAGTGGAAATTTAAATTGGGAACCTGGATCATTGTTTGAATTTCACAACAGAAGTACAATAACTAATATAATGCTAAGTCTGATTTAAAATTCTGATCCAGATATGTTGCAAAGTGAGTAATTTTAGTGTATGGACACTGCATTAGCTTTTTATTGCTGCACAACAAATTGCCACAAATTTACTGGCTTAAACAATACAAAAGTATTATTTCGTAGTTTTGGAGGTAAGAAGTCTAACATGAATCTCTCTGGGCTAAAATTAGATGATAGCAGGTCTTCCTTCCTTTCTGGTGGCTCTGGGGGAGAATGCATTCCTTGTACAATCAGATTTATCGTAGTATGGGCTTCCATAACAAAGTACTGTAGATAGGGTGGCTTAAAAACAATAAAAATGTATTTCTCACATTTCTGGAGGCTGGAAGACAGTGATCAACGTGCCAGCATGGTTTGGTTCCAGTAAGGACACTCTTCTGGGTTGACACACAAATTCATTCTATTCCAAGTTTCTTGGCAGAATTCAAATCCTTTCTGTTGTGGGACTGAGGTCCTCCTTTCCTTGCTGGCTGTTGGCTGAAGATGTTTCCAGCTTCTAGAGGCCATTTGTGTTCCTTAGCTCTTTATTCCCTTCCACCATATTCAAAGCAAACAATGATGGACAAGTCTTCTTACACTGTGAATCTCTCATCTTTCTGTCTTATCTCTCTGACCCTCTCTTTTGCCTTTTTAATTTTTTTTTGCTTTTAAGAGTTCATGTAATTACACTGGACCTACCCTCCCACTGGACCCACCCTCCCACTAGACCCACTGGAACTCTGAAGATGTGATTAAGGTTATTGACTTTGAGATGGGGAGATGATCTCTATAAATTTCCCTATACTGAAAGTTTTATATAAATTGAATCATATAATTTGTGGTCTTTTGTGACTGGCTTTTCTTACTCTTTCACTTAGCATAATGTTTTCAAGGTTCATTCATGATTTATACTTCATGATTTAGTACTTCATTCTTCTTTATGGTCAGATACCATTCCACTGTACACATACCATTTTGTTTATCCATTCATTGGTTAATGGACATTTGGATTGTTTTCATCCTTTGGGTTTTATAAATAATGTTGATATAAACATCCATGTGCAAGTTTTTGTGTGAATATATATTTTCATATCTCTTAGGTATATATCTAAGAGTGGAATTGCTAAGTCATGTGATAACTCTATGTTTTCTGGTTTAAGAAACTGCCAAGTTATTTTTCCAATGTGTCTGCATAATTTTACACTTCCACCAGTATACGAAAGTTCCAATTTCTCTGTTCTTGCCAAAACTTGTTATAGTTTGACTTTTTTATTCTACTCACCCTAGACGTTGTGAACTGGCACCTTATTGTGGTTTAGACTTGCGTATCTCTAATTACTAATGATGTTGAATATCTTTTTGTGTGTGTTTGCCATTTATATATCTTCTTTGGACAAATGTCTACTCAGCTTAATGACTGATTCTTAATTGGTTTGTCTTATTATTATTGAGTTATATGTTCATTATATATTCTAGATGCAAGTCCCTTATTATATATGTATAATATATGATTTTATATATATATATAATTTGCAAATATTTTCTCCCATTCTGTGTGTTGTGTATTCACTTCCTTGATAGTGTCCTTTGAAGTACAGAAGTTTTTAATTTTATTGATGGGCAATTTCTCTTTTTTTTTCTATTTGCTTGAGTTTTGATGTTGTATCTAAGAAACCATTGCCAAATTTTAGGTCACAATAGTTTGTCTCTGCTTCTAAAAGTTTTATAGTTGTATCTCTTACATGTAGGGCTTTGATCTATTTCAGCTGATTTTTGTAGATAGTAGGGAATATGTATGTAACTTTATTCTCTTGCATGTGGATATCCACTTGTTCCAGCACCATTTGTTGAAAAGAATAAAATTTGTTGAAAAGAATGAATTTCCCGATTGATTGACCTTGCCATCCTTGTCAAAAAGAAGTTCACCACAAAAAAGATTTTTTAAAAAAGAAGTTGATTATAGAAACAAGAGTTTGTTTCTGGACTCTTAATTTTGTTCCGTTGATCTGTATATATATCTTTAGGCCAATATCACACTATCTTTATTATTGTTGCTTTGAAGTAAGTTTAAAATGCAAGTTATCTCATTTTGTTCTTTTTCAAGGTTGCTTTGGCTATTCCAAGTCACTTATATTTCTGTATTAATTTTAGGGTCACTTTTTCAGTATCTATCAAGAAGCCAGTTTGGATACTGATAGGGACTCTATTGAATCTGTAGATCAATTTGGGAAGTATTGCCATCTTAACAATATTATATATTCCAATCCACGAACCAGAGATGTTTTCCCATTTATTTGCATCTTCTTTAATGAGAGATGCTCCTTGACTTACAATAGGGTTACATTCATATAAACCCATTGTATCTCAAAAATATCATGTCAGAAATGTATATAATATCCTGATAAACTCATTGTAAAGCTGAAAAATGATAAATTGAACCAACATAAGTTTGGAACTATCTGTATTTTCAACAGTTTGCAGTTTTAAGAGAATAAGTTTTGTACTTCTTTTCTGAAATACATTCCCATATACTTTACTTTTTTGGATGCTATTGTAAATTGAATTAATTTTCTAATTTCATTTTTAGACTTTTCATTGAAAATATATAGAAACGCATTTGAATTTAGAATACTGATCTTGTATTCTGCAATATTGTTGAACTCGTGTATTAGTTTAGTTTTTTTAGTGGATTTCCTGGGATTTTCTATATTTAAGATCACGTAATTTATGAATTAAGAGAGTTTTACTTTGTTCTTTCTAATCCAGATACCTATTATTTATTATGCTTGCTAATCATGCTGTCTAGAACCTGTATGTTGAACAGAGATTGTGAGAGTAATAAATCTTCTCATGTTCCATTTTCCCTCTTATGTCCTTAGTGGGAAAGCATCCAGTCTTTCATCAATAAGAACTGTGTTACCTGCAGGATTTTTCATAGCTGCCCTTTATCAGGTTAAGAAAGTATTTCTCTATTTGTAGTTATTTTAAAAAAATAAAAAAAGAGTATTGGATTTTGTCAAATGCATTTTTTATATCTAACAAGATATTTATGTGTTTTTTAAAATGTTATTCAATTTATATGCTATACTGCATTAATTGATTTTTATATGTTAAACCAACTTTGCATTCAGATATACACCACTTGGCCCTGGTGTATAATTCTTTTATAATTGCTGACTCATTTGCTAGTATTTTGTTGAGAATTTTTATATACAAATTCATTGGAGGTATTGTTCTGCAGTTTTCTTGTTATGTCTTTATCTTACTTTGGGAGCAAGGTAAAACCGAGCTCACATAATGATTGTGTTGCATTTGTACTGCTTTGATATTTTTGAAAAGTTTATAAGGAATGGTATTAATATTTCTGCAAATGTGTGGTATAATTGACCAGCATAGACACCTGGGCATGGGAATTTTTTGTGGTTAGTTTTTGAATTTATAATTAAATTTCTTGACATAGGTCTCTTCAAAATGTCCATTTCTGTTTGAGTTAGATTTCATAGTTTGTATCTTTCCAGGATTATGTTAATTTAATCTAAGTTATCTAATTATTAGTATATAATTTCTCATAGTATTCTTTTGTAAGCCTTATGATTTCTGAAAGATCAGTAGTAATGTCTGTCTGCTCTTTCATTTCTGACTTTATTAAATTGAGTATTTCTTACTTTTTTCTTGGTTAATTTAGCTAAAATTATATTCATTTTCTTGAAGCTTTCAAAGAATAAACTTTTGTTTCTATTGATTTTATTTATTACTTTTCTAGTTTCATTAATTTCTACTCTAATCATTATCATTCCTTCTGCTTACTTTAGGTTTAGTACGGACTTCTTTTTCCAGTGTCTTAAGGTATTCACTAACGGTGCTTGCAGCTGCAGTGTTTACCCCATTTTCCATGAAAAATTTTGCTTTGCTTTTATTATTATTTTTGCATTGCTCTAGTATATCAACTTTGGAAACAAAAGACATCATTCTATTTGTATCATTCTGTTTTTAAAATATATTAATTCTCGATCGCTAAAAATGTCAAATCCTAGAAAATTGTAACATTCCTATGCCTGATTTTAGCATTGTTCTTGAACAGTTGTTGGCCAAAGATTCATTTGATAGATCCAGTTTTTCTGAAATAGATGATTCTGAAGATTCAGATGATTCTGATGTTAGTTCTGTTTAGAAATAACTCCAATAATAGTTTTTATATTTTATTTTCACATTGCAAATCAGTCAGGTTTGCTTCAGCCTCAAAAAGCATTTTTGTGTAAAATTAAATGATCTCTGGCAGTGAGCTACACTTTTTTATTCTAATTAAGTCCAATATTTTTGTTGTTAATTTTCTGTCTAGGAAATCTGTTCAATCCTGAAAGTGAACTAATTAAGCTTCCAGCTATTATTGTATTGAGGTCTGTCTCTCTCTTTAGCTCTAATAATATGAGCTTTATATATCTTTGTGCTCCAGTGTTGAGAGCATATATATTTGCTATAATTATATCCTGTTGTTGACCGCTTTATCATTATATAATGACCTTCTTTGTCTCTTCTTACAGTTTTTGCCTTGAAATGTATTTTGTCTGACGTAAATTTGGCTATTCCTGCTCGTTTTATGTTTTCCGTTTCCACGGAGTGTTTTTTTTTTCCATCCATTTATTTTCAGTATATGTTTATCTTTATAGGTAAAATGTGATTCTTGTATGCAAAAGGTCACTGGGTCTTGTTTTTTAATCGATTCACACATTCTATGTTGTTTCGTTGAAGAGTTGAGTACATTTACATTCAATGTTATTATTGATGAGTAGAGACTTACTCTTGCCATTTTGCTAATATTTTTCTGGTTGTTTTGTGTTCTTCCCTTCTTTTCTTTCTTCCTTTCTGTCTTCCTTTTAGTGAAGATGACTTTCTCTGGTGATATGATTTAGTTTCTTGCTTTTTTATTTTTTGTGTCTCCATTGTATGTCTTTTGGTCTGAGGTTACCATGAGGCTTGGAAATACTATCTTATAACCCAGTATTTTAATCTGATAACAACTTAACACTGTTTGCATAAACAAACAAAAACAAGCAAAAAGAAAACTGATAGAAACTCTATGCGTTAACTTCATCCCCCTACTTTTTAACATTTTATTGTTTCCATTTATATCTTGTTGTATTGACTATGTCTTGAGAAGTTTTTGTAGTTATTATTTCCAATTGCTTCATTGTTTAGTCTTTCCATTAAGGATAAGACTAGTTTACACGTCACAGTTACAGTGTTATAACATTCTTTGTTTTTCTGTGTACTTATTATTAGCAGTGAGTGTTGTACCTTCAGAGGATTTCTTCTTGCTCATTAACATTCTTTTCTTTCAGATTAAAGAACTCCCTTTAGCATTTCTTATAGAACAGATCTGGTGTTGATTAAATCCCTCAGCAACTGATTGTCTTCATTTCTCTTTTATGCTTGAAGGATATTTTTTCCAGATACACTATTCTCAAGTAAAAACTTTTTTCCTTCTTTACTTTAAATACATCATGCCACTCTCCCTCGGCATGTAAGATTTCCACTAAAAAGTCTACTGCCAGATGGATCGGAGCTTCGTTTTATGTTATTTATTTATTTTCTCTTGCTGCTTTTAGGATCGCTTATTTATCCTTGATCTTTTGGAGTTTGATCATTAAATGACTTGAGGTAGTTTTTTAGGGGTTTAAATCTGCTTTGTGTTCTATTACTTTCTTGTACTTGGATGTTGACATCTTTCTCCAGGATTAGGAAAGTTTCTGATACTATCCTTTTGAATAAATTTTCTACCCCTATCTCTTTCTCTCCCTTCGCTTTAAGGCCAATAACTCAGATTTGCCCTTTTGAGGCTATTTCCTAGATCCTGTACGCATGCTTCACTGTTTTATTTTTTTTCTTTATTCTTTTGTCTCCTCTGACAGTGTATTACAAATAGCCTGTCTTCAAGCTCACTCATTATTTCTTCTGCTTAATGAATTCTGCTATTAAGAGACTCTGATGGATTCTTCAGCATGGCAATCAGAATTTTCCACTCTAGGATTGCCGTTTGATTTTTTTAAATTATATTTCTTTTTAAAATTTATCTGATAGAATTCTGAATTTCTTCTCTGTGTTATCTTGAATTTCTTTAATTTTCCTCAACTCAGCTATTTTTAATTCTCTGCCTGAAAAGTTACATTCTCTGTTTCTCCAGATTTGGCCCCTAGTGCCTTATTTAGTTCAGAAGGTGAGGTCATGATTTCCTAGATGGTCTTGATACTTACAAATGTTTGTCAGTGTCTGGGCATTGAAGAATTAGGTATTTGTTTTAGTCTTCAAATTTGGGCTTGTTTGTGCCCATTCTTCTCGAGAAATATTTCCCGGTATTAAAAAGGACTTGGGCCTCAAGCCCAATATTGCTGTGGTTTTTTCAGACTCATAGAGGTACTGCCTTGGTGGTCTTGGAAAAGATCCAGAAGAATTCTCTGAGTTTCCAAGCAAAGACTCTTGTTCTTTTCTCTTATTTTCTCCCAAACAAACGGAGTATCTTTCTCTCTACTGAGCTGCCTGGAACTGTGCTTGTAGTGATGGAAACTCCTCCTTTCACCATTACCACTGGGACTGCACTAAGTCAGACCTGCAGCCAGCGGAACACTGGGTCTCACCCAAGGCCCACTGTAACCACTACTTAGCTAACACCTATGTTCACTCAAGGCTCTATGATCAGCAGGTGGTGAAGCCAGCCAGGTTTGTGCTTTTCCCTTCAGGGTAGTGAGTTCCTCCAGGCCTCATCTCTGGCTAGTCCAGAGATGTTTTCTGGAAGCCAGGAATTGGAGTCAAAAACCTTAGATATTTGCCTGATGTTCTATTTTACTTTGGCTAGGCTGGCACTCAAACCACAATACAAAGTCCTTTCTCCTCTTCCCTCCTTTTCCAGAGGCAGAGGAGTCTCTTCCTGTGGCCACCCCAACCACTGGCTAACAGAAGGGTTCTGCCAGGCTACAACAAATGTTCACTTAAAGCCCTAAGGCTCTTTAGTCAGCTTATGATTTGCTCGTGATTGCTGCCAGGCCTGGAACTCATAGTTTAGAGCAAGGGGCTCTCCTCTACCCAGGGAACATCCAAAATTTCTGTCTAATGGCTCAGGCTTGAACTCAGGGACCCCAAGCACCTTCTTGTTGCTGCTCTACCTTACTGTGGCTGAGCTGGTACCTAAGGTGTAAGACAAAGACCCCTTTACATTTCCTTCTGCTCTTCTCAAATGGAAAGAGTCTTTCACCACAGCCACCATGGGCAGAAATGTGCTAGGTCATACCCGTAGTGACCATGTATGAGAGCCCAAGGCCTATGACATTCTATCTGAGTATCACTGCTAGTTATTCAGGGCCCAAGGGCTCCTTAGTCAGCAGGTGATTAATCCTGTCAGGACCAGGTTCTTCCATTCAGGGCAGTGGGTTCTCTTCTGGCCCAGGCTGTGTTTAGAAATGTTGTTTGGGAGCTGGGACCTGGAATGGGGGCTTCATGAGTCTACTTGATTTTCTATGCTACTGCGATTGAGCTGGTATCCAAGATACAAGACATAATCCTCTTTACACTTCAATGTCCTCTCCTTAAGCAGAAGAAAGGAGTCACTTTCGTTGCTGTGAATCACACTGTCTGGAGTTGGAGGAGGGGTGGCACAAGCTCTCCCTTAGCTAACCCAACTAGTGTCTCCATAGTCATGTTTCACCCTAGTCCCCAGGCTCTAAGTCCAGGCAGGCACTAGAAGTCGCCTAGGAATTACAGTCCCTCCGGCCTAGACTGTCTTTCAAGTTTACATAGTACCCCAGAGCACTTTGACCTGCAATGGCATGGCTTACTAAGGGACTCAAGTTCCAACCACTGGGATAGGCAATTCCCCTCTGGCTAAGTCTGGTCCACATGCTCCCTCTGTATGTGGGTGCTGCCCGAGCCCAACATGGCTTTGCTCTCCTCTGTGACAGGGCAGCACTGAGTTCTATGTAAAGTCCCCCATTTGTTGCGCTCTCTGTCCTCTGCATACACAGACTGACTCTCTCCACTGAGTAGCCACTACTGGAAGATGGAGACAGGTGGTGTTGGTGATTCACGATGGTCTTTCCTACCATCTTTAATGCCTCTTCTAGTGATATGAAGTGAAAACCAAGTACAGTGATTGCTCATCTGATTTTTTGTTTTTGTGATGGTGCTTTCTGCGTGAAGATACTTGTTAACATTTGGTGTTCTTGTTGGGGGATGAATAGTGTGGGCTTCTATTCACCATCTTGCTCCATCTATATTAAAAGTGGGATACTAAAGTCTTCAAATATTATTATTGTTTATTTCTTCTTTTTATTCTCTCAGCTTTTGCATCCTGTATTATGTTGCTATACCATTTGATACAGGTATATAATTATGTCAATTATGTCTTGCTAATTTATTAATTTATTACAAAATGTTGCTCTTCATGTCTAGCCACATTTTTCTTTTAAAGTTAATCCTACCTGATATTAGTGTAGCTATGCCAACTTTTTTGTGATTTCTTTTCATATTATATGCAATTTTCCATTCTTTTACTTTCAATTTGTATATTTCTTAAGCACATATAGTAGATCGCATATAGTACGGTAGTGTTTTTTTTTAATATTTATTTTTATCCAGGTTGATAATTTATGCCATTTGATTAGATTATTTGATCCCTTAACACTTACTGTTATTATTGATATAGTTGTATCTACGTCTGCCATTTTATTGTTTTACACATCTCATTTCTATTTCATTCATTTTGTCCATCTACTAATCTCATTATTTATGGTTTTCTTTTGAATTAAATGAATATTTTCTTTTTTCTTTTTTTTATTGAGACAGGGTCTCACTCTGTCACTTACAGTGGAGTGCAGTGCCATGGCAATGGCTCACCTCAGCCTCAAACTGCTGGGCTCAAGTGATCCTTCTGTCTCAGCTTCCAAGGTAGCTGGGACTAAACGAGTATGTCACCATGCCTGGCTAATTTATTATTAGTAGTAGTATTATTATTAGTAGTAGTAGAAATGGCATTTCACTATGTTTCTCAGGCTGGCCTCTCACTCTTGACCTCCAGCAATCCTCCCACCTCAGCATCCCAAAGTGCTAAGATTACAGCATGAGCCATTGCACCTGGCCAAATTACATGAATATTTTATAATGTAGCATTTCAATTTCTCTCATAATATTTTTACTATATTTTACTTATTTTCATGTTGACTGTGCTAGACCTTACCATATACATTTTAACTTATCTGAATAACCTTCAAATTTTTACAAATTTAATTTCAGTGAGCTATAGAAACATTATACCTATGTAGCTTTATTTTCTTTTTCCCTCTTTTTTGAGGTAATATTGTTATGTATAATACATTGTTAATGTTACAAACCCAACAACACATTACTTTATTTATAATTTTAAGCAATTTTATGTCTTTTAAAAATGCTCAGTGAAGAAGAGCAAGCACATATTTATAGCTTCTCTTACTTTATCTTTTATAAAAATCGTTTCTTTGTGTGTGTGTGTGTGTGTGTGTATGTGTGTGTGTGTGTTCCTGTGAATTTGAATTAACAACTGTAGTCATTTTCTTAGCAGAATATAACTTTGCTCTCACCCACTTCATTTATGCTGCTATTGGTAAATATATTGCATTTCTACTTGTTACAGGCCAAATAATACCTCATATACATAATGTGTGTAGAATGACTTTTTAAGTTTGTTAAGAGAAGAAAGGGAAAGAAATATGCATGTACACTTTTTTTTATAAATATATAATACCTAACCACCTTTGCCAGTGTTCTTTGTTTTGTGTGTGCATGAATTTGCATGATGGCCTACTGTCACTTGCTTTTAGCCTGAAGAATTTCCTATGGCATATGTTGTAACGTGAATCTACTATCAACAAATTCAATTTTTTCTTATCTAGGAATGTCTTTATTTTACCTTTATTTTTTGAAATGTAGCTTTGTTGGATATAAGATTGTTGACTGACAGGTTTTTCTTTGTGTACTCTGAATATGTTGTCTCACTGCCTTCTAGTTTCTGAAGAAAAGTCACTTAATATTATTGACATTCTCTTGTAAGTGAAGAGTCATATTTCTCTTGTTGCTTTTGAAGATTTGATTCATGTCTTTGGCTTTCTGTATTTTGACTATAATATGTATGTAGATCTCTTCGCATTTATTCTACTTGGAGTTTGTTGAGCTTCCTGGATGTGTAGATTAATGATTTTCAATAAAACTGGAAATTTTTAAATTCTTATTTCTTTAAATGTTTTTCTTATTCTTTCTCTTCTCTTTTTTGTAATCCTACTATGTGTATATTTCACACTTCTCTAATTATTTTATTCACTGTTTAATTCAGATTTCTTTTAGTTCTATGGATTACACAATCTATATTAATCTATTTTCAAGTTTATTAATTCTTCATTCTTCCAGTTCATATATTTTGCTTAGCTCCTCTAGTCAAATTTTCAAATTAGTTATTTTATACTTTTTAACTGTGAAATTTCTATTTTGTTCTTTTTGATAATTTATATCTGTTTATTAATATTCTCTATTTGAGGTGGATTGTCATATTACCTTTCTTGTTTAATGATGGTTTTCTTTAGGGCTTTGAACATATTTATAATGGCTACTTTGAAGTATTTTTCCATTATATCTGACATCTGGGCACTCTAACAGGAAGGTATTTTTTGTCTGCCTTTTTTTTTCAGTATATGGGTCACACTTTTCTGTTTCTCTACCTGTCTTATTATTTTTGTAGAAACCGGATCTTTTAGATTGTATATTCTAGCAATTCTTGACCAGTACTAAGAATTCTTCTTCTCTAGAAGAGGGATCTTCCAGAGGAGATTCTTCTCTGAATATTCTTCTTATTTCATTCTTTGATTACTCAGTTACTACCTGGATTACGTTAGTAAAGTTTATTTTCCTCCTACAATGTGAAGCTATAATGTTCTTTCTGGGAACAGACCTGGGTATGTAAACAGTCATCCTGGAATGTCAATGGTTTTGTCAGGGCTTTCATTGAATGACTCTTTTCCTATCCACATCCAGTTTTTAATCTCCACAAATTGTAAACTAATTGTTCTACTGTTTTCAATAATGTCTTGAAATACAATTTTTAACACAAGGGGATCCAACCAAATTTTGGTTCTATTAAAAAGATAGTTCCAAAAATTACTTTTTAAGATTTGTTCTGACCTGAGGAAGGATCCAAGTTCTATCATTCCCTGCTTCTCTTGTCAAACTACCTGGTCTACACTCTATCTTGTATTACAAATGAGTCATAAATCTCCTCTCAATTGCCTTTCACAACTTCTACTGTTTGAAAGTGTCTTTCTTAGGTTTAACATTTTTTTTATACTCTGTTGCAAATAAAATTAGCTGCTTTTGGAAGATATTAGGAGATTTCAACAGGATTCTTTCCCCAAGCAAAATCTCTGAGCCAGGGCTCTGAAGCTGGGGTTTGGGGGAGACAATCATGCTCTTTTCTTTTAGTAATACCTCAGGTTTGGAGTTGAACATTCAATGAAGAACGAAGAAGCAGATTCACGTCTCTAGGCTTGCCTCTCCTAGCTTGGCAATATCACTTTACAAGCCCTAAGAGTGGTGATTGGGGCCCCAGTGTTCTCAGTCTCACTGCTACCAAAATAGTGCCTACATCCCATTAATGGCAGCTGAGCAGAGAAAGGGAGGCTTATCTGTCACTCGGAACTTTACCTCAGAAAGAGGTAGCTCTTGCCAGGATGAGAAATGTTGACATCTTACCCCTATCATGAAAATAGCCCGCTGACTTGGAGCTGGCCAGGAGAGAGAGTCTTGTGTTCTTGGATACACCACCTAATGTGGAGTTTCTATGTTACTGAGCTGAGAATGGGGAGGGAAGGTGCAGGTCTTGGTTCATATACCACAGATTCTCAATATTCTTACCAGGTTTAGTAGATTTTCTTGATAAAATGTTTTTCAATTACTGCATGCCTTTAGGACAATTTTCTGAAACATTAAATTGTTATATTTTCACAGTTTTACTACTTTAGCTAGAGAGTAGGTCCATAGAGTTTCTCATACTATCTCACCTGAATTGGAAACTAGATTTTTATCTTTACTAAACAGTATTATACCTTGAATATGATTTTATTTTATTCTTTCATCAATATTTTCTGGTGATGGCTCCATATCAGTAGCAATAGATTTTCATTTTTTTACTCAGTCTTCTATTAATAGACATTTGAGTTGCCTTTTTTTATTAAAAACAATATAATATACAGTACAGTGTATATATCATTTGTTATTGTTTACCAAGGTATATTAGGAATAGATTCCTAAAGTTTGTATTAGTGGATTCAAAGGTATATATATATGCACATTTTCTAGATAAACATTTCACAATTCTACTCCATAGGCCTTACAAATTTTCATTCTCACTATCAGTGTTTGAGGTGCCTGACAGCTGTGAGAAAAATTTGCTGTCAGAATTTCTTGTTTTTGTCAAACTGATAGTTGAAAAATGGTATACCTATGTAGCTTAATTTGCATTTATTAATATCTAATTTTGAATGATGTTAAGTATTTTATAATTTGCCACTCTTTTCTGTGAGATATCTGTTCATATCTTCTCCATATTTTTCTCTAAGGTTTTTGGCCTGTGTATGCCTTTCTAGATTTAAAAGCTCTGTGGCAGTGACATTACAAGATTAACATTCTTAATGTAATATTAGCATATAACTTTGTCACAAGTTATAGTTTGTCCTTTTACTTTGCTTACTATGTTTTTATTACAACACAAAATAATTTTTAGGTAATCAAATTCATTAATATTTTCACCTTAGCTTCTGAAAATTTAAACAGCACTGAGCAATTTATCCCTTAATCCAAATTATAAATTATTATATCATTTTATTTTTTACATTTAACTTTGTGCTCCATTTGGAATTTGATGTATAGTTTGAGAAATTGATCCAATTTTATATTTTTCCTATGAAGCTGTCTAGGTATCACACCACTTATTGCAATGCCCATCATTTCCTCACTATATTGAGTTGCTGCCTTTTTTGTATGCAAAATTGTCATAAGTACTTTGTCTATTTCTGGATTTTCTAGTATGTTCCAGTAGTGTTTCCCTATATTGATGTGTTTATCCTGTATTGTTTTAGTAATAGTGCTTCATAGTATATTATGATAACTTCTGCAAAACCATTTTGAGCTTTCTATTTGTTTTAGCTGACCAGACAATAAGACCATAAGAATATATCACTGCCACTATTTTGATGGCATCTTACTTAATTTCAAGTAAAGATCTAAAAATAAACAAAACTTTTTTTATATTTCGTATAAACTGAAGTGTGTTGTTACAATACATATCAAAATATTTACTGTCTTTTTAATATTATTTTGGCTGATTACATATTCAAATCTTCCTGTGTGATAACATTTATTTGTATCCTCCTCAAAGCTCATTAATAAATTTTAAACATTGTAAGAATACACTAGAATATAAAGAGTTGAGGCTGGGCGCAGTGGCTCATGCCTGTAATCCCAGCACTTTGAGAGGCCGAGGCAGGCAGATCACAAGTTCAGGAGTTTGAGACCAGCCTGGACAATATGGTGAAACCTCATCTCCATTAAAAATATAAAAAATTAGCCAGGGTGGTGGCAGGTGTCTGTACTCCCAGCTACTTGGGAGGCTGAGGCAGGAGAATCACTTGAACCCGGGAAGTGGAGGTTGAGTTGAGCCAAGATCGTGCCACTGTATTCCAGCCTGGGTGACAGAGTGAGACTCCATTTCAAAAAAAAAAAAAAAAAAAAATATATATATATATATATATATATATATATATATATATAAAGGAGTGGTGCATTATTTAAGATATTTTTATTGTGAGTAACAAATTAAACCTCATTGATTTGAGCAAAATAAAATGGAAATTTTGTTAGCGATAAAAAATTTTATTATGGAGCACAGGAATTGGAAATAAGACATTACAAGGGATTGGAATCCTAAAGAGAATCCAGGAATTGTTTTAAATAATTAATTGAGGTGACATTCTCATAAATAACATTAGCCCTTTTAATGTGAACAGTGAAGTGGCAGTTAGTATATTCACAATTTTGTGTTACCACTACCTCTATCTACTTATAAAATGTTTTTCATGTTGCAAAGTGAAAATATCCACTGTTTTAATCCATTTGGGCTACTATAACAACATATTTCAAACTGGATAATTTACAAACAACAGAAGACTGGAAGTCCAAGATCCAGGTGCCAGCGGACTTAGTGTCTGGTGAGGGTTTGCTCTCTGCCTCAAAGATGGTTCCTTCTTGTTGCATCTTCACATGGCAGAAGGAGAGGAGAACTCCTTCAAGCCTCTTTTATAAAGGCACTAATTCCATCCATCAAGGAAAAGCCTTCATAACCTATTCAGCTCCCAAAAGAAGTATTTCTTAAGATTATTACATTGTAAATTTAGGTTTCAATATATCTTCAACACACTAAGACCACAGCACCCATTAAGCAGTCTTTCCCCAATCCCCATTCACCTAGCCTTTGACAACCAACAATATGCATTCTATCTCTGTAAATTCACTTATACTGAATAATTTATATAAATATAATTATACATGTGTGTCTTTTGTGTGTAGCCTCTTTCACTTAGCATAATGCATTGAAGGTTCATCCACATTGTAGCATACAGGATAATTCATTGCTTTTTCTGACTGAATAATATTCCATAATGTGTCTATGTCACAACTTATTTATCCATTAATCTTTTTATGTGTATATAGGATTGTTTTCTATTTTGACTGTTGTAACTAGCACTCCTATGAGCATACATGTACTTATTTGAGCACTTGTGTTCAATTATATATGCCCAGTAGTAGAATTGTGGGGTCATATTGTAATTCTATGTTTAATGATTTTTAGAACTGTCATGCACTCTTCTGTAGTAGCTACGTCATTTTAAATTTCCACCATTAATGTGCAAGGTTACAATTTTTCCATATTTTTGCCACCATGTGTTATTTTATGTTTCTTTTTTATATTTTTAACATAGCCATTCTAGTGGGTAAGAAATGATACTTCATAGAGGCTTTAATTGGCTTCTCCTTAATGACTAATAATATTGAGGAAATTTTCATGTGCTTACTGGCCATTTTGTATATCTTCTTTGGATAAATGTTCAATTCCTTTACTTATTTTTAATTGGGTTGTCTTCCTGTTATTGAATTGTAATTTTTAATATGTACTTGAAATTATACCCTTATTACATAAATGATTTGCAAACATTTTTCTCCCATAATGTAGGTAATGTTTGTACTTCCTTTTTTTTTTTTTCTTTTTTTGAGATGCAGTCTTGCTTTGTGCCAGGCTGGAGTGCAGTGGTGGGATCTCGGCTCGCTGCAACCTCCACCTCCCAGGTTCAAGCGATTCTCCTGCCTCAGTCTCCCGAGTAGCTGGGACTACAGGTGTGCACCACCACGCCCAGCTAATTTTTGTATCCTTAGTAGAGACGGGGTTTCACCTTGTTGGACAGGATGGTCTCAATCTCTTGACCTTGTGATCCGCCCATCTCAGCCTCCCAAAGTGCTGGGATTACAGGCGTGAGCCACCACACCCTGCCTGTACTTCTTTGATACGATTTTATGGAAAAAAATTTTGTTGTAGATAAATATGTCTATTTTTTCTTTGTTGAGCTTTTTTGTGTCATATCTAAACATTAATTGCCAAATCCAAGATTAAAAAGATGTATACCTATGTTATTTTCTACAAGTTTTACAGATTTAGTTTTTATGTTTAGGTTGTTGATCCATTTTGACTTAACTTTTGTATGTGGTATGAGGTAGAGGTCCATTTTATTCTTTTGAATCTGGATATCCAGTTGTCCTAGCACTATTTGTTGAAGAAACTGCTTTTTCTCCATTTAATAGGTCACACCTTGTTAAAAACAAATTGGCTGTAAATGTATGGGTTTATTTCTATTCTCTCAGTTTTATGCCATTGGCCTACATGTCTATGTTTATGCCAGTGCCACACTATTTTAACTAATCTATATCTGTAGTAAGTTTTAAAATCAGAAACTGTGACCACCAAGTTTTTTTTAAATAGTTTTGGCTACTCTGTGTCTCTAATAATGTCATATGAATTTGAAGATATAATTTTCCATTTCAGCAAAAGAGACTGAAATTTTTATAGGAATTGTATTGAATTTGTAGTTAGCTTGATATCTGTATTGATATCTTAACAATATTAATGCTTTTTTATTTATTTAAATCTTCTTAATTCCTTTCAATAACATTTTGTAGTTTACAGCATAAAAGTTTTTCATCTTGTTGGTTAAATTTAATCCTAGATATTTTCTTCTTTGAGATGCCATTGTAAACAGAATTATTCACTTTAACTGATTTTCATATTTTTCGTTGCCTATGTATAGAAACATAATTGATATTTGAGTATTGATTCTGTATCCTATAATCTTGCTGAATTTGTCTATTAGCTCTAGTAGTTTTTCAATGTTTATTTTGATGATTTTTTGTATATAGAACCAAGCTATCTTCTATTAAAGAGAATTTTATTTTTTCTTTTTTGTTTTTGAATGTCTTTTCTATCTTTATCTAGAGCTAGAATTCCCAGTAAATAAATAAAGAACAGTGGCAATCATTGACATCCTTGTCTTATTCCTGATCTGAGAAAGAAAACTTTCACCCTTTCATCAATATTTAGTTTAATGTTAATTGTGGAGTTTTCATATAATCACCATTAATATGTTGAAAAGTTTTCCTTCTACTCCTAGTTTTTTTGTGTTTTTATCATGCACACATTTCGAATTTTGCCCAATTTTTTTTCTGCATCAATTGAACTGATTATGTCGTTTTTTTTTTTGCAATTTTTCCATTAATGTGGTGCATTACATTGATTGTTTTCTTATGTTTAGCCATCCTTGCATTCCTGGGACAAACCCTACTTGATCTTGCTGTGTAATCTTAATAGGTAATTGAACTTGGCTTTCTAGTATTGTGTTGAAGATTTCTGCATCAAAATTCATAAATAATATTGGTTTGTAGTTTCCTTTTCTTGTAGTGTCTTTGTCTGACTTTGGTATCAAGTAATGTTGGCCTTACAGAATATGTGAAAAAGTTTTCTGTCCTCTTATTTTTTGAAAGTTTGAGAAAGTTTGAGAAACAGCTGTTAGCGCTTTCTTTAACTGTTTGGCAAAATTCACCAGTTAAGCCATCTGGCTCTGTCTTGTATTTGTTGTGAGGTTTTTTTTCTTATTTAATCTCTATTTTGTTATAGGTCAGCTCATATGTTTTATTTTTTCTTCAGTCTTTTTTAGCAATTTGTGTGTTTCTCAGAATTTCTCCATTTATTCTGTTATCTAATTTAAAAGTATATACTTTATCACAGAATTCTCTTATTATTTTTATTTCTGTAAAGTCAGTAGTTATGACCCCATTTTCGTTTTCAGATTTATTTATTTGCATCTTCTCTCTTTTTCCTTTGCAATTTCACTTCAAATTTTGCATTTCATTTATCTTTTCAAAGAACCAGATTTTGGTGTCATAGTATTTAGTTGTGGGCCATGGACAACTAAAAATGCCACAAAGCTTTCCTAGCATTTTTAAGTTACTTTTTTCTTAATTCAGCATTTGTTTGGCTGCTGCAACCTTTTGACTATTTTCCAGAGCCCTGATATAATTGGTTCTGACATTTTTTTCCTTGTTTTTCCATGGTTTTGTGGAGCAATAAATGTTTGAGCTGCCTTTTCCATCATTTTGCTGACATCACTCTCCAGGTGTTTTGTGCTTGTAGTTTGAGTCTACTTATCTCTGCATGTTTGCTTCATTTTTCTTTCTTTGATTTACATGGCAGAACATGATTTCCAACAGCTCCTGCCTTTCAGCTGTATGGATACTGACTGAGCTCAGTTCAAGTTACAATATTCTTGATAAAGAAAGTGTAATTTCTGCAGTTTTGGTCAAATTATCTCACCTGAACCAGCCAACTATTGTCAGGAACAAGGCCATATTATCCTCAAAGAGGCTCACATAATAACCATGCAAATTGGTTGTACAAGTGAATGCAGAAAAAGGAGTTTTCTTAAAAATAACAAGCAGATGTTTCATACCGATTGTGAGCCTTGACTTAATGTATACCTGCTGGAATATAGATCACATTATGCTCAAAGATTCTGGTTCAATATCCTGAAATATTTTTAAACCTATTGCACAAATGATTGACCTCTTTAATCATTTATCAATCCATTTATCATCATTTCTTTCCATATTTCTTGATTATTGAAATTAAGGTATAGTTTGTATAAGTTCCCTGTTTATTTCTAGCAAGATCCTTTATACTCGATTTTAGCAACTACATATTTAGTGCAGAGTTTCCCAGTTACTGGAAAGAGTTCATAGACATGTCAGTAATTATACTTGTTTGCTAGGAATCAATTGACTCTTACAAAAGATAACTAAAAGTAACATAATCCAAAGCCTTACAACAAAGATGGGTTGTAATAACAGAAGCTAGTGTGTGCTGAGAAATAGCAAGGCAAGGTAGGGAGATGTATTTTTGAGAAAATACTTTGCCATTCATGAGGCACTTTGGCTAAGTTGTAGTTACTTTTAGCAGATTTCCAAAAACCAGATTGACTAAAAAATCTCTGTGGAAATGACCGTAGGCCACATGTGGTCCTCGACAGCCATACCTTTAGGCACACATGAACACACACACACACACAAAGTCACACATATCTAGCCTCTGATGTTACACAGAAAAATAATAGCATAATTTAGCTATCACCTGGAGGGAAAATGTCCTTTGATATATTTCCTGAATATCTTTTTACAAAGAGAATATTGATAAAATATGCAAAGAATTTTGTTACTATGTTTTTACTATTATTTGTTAATAAGAAATTTCACATCTTGAAGAAACCTGAGAAATCAATGTGACTTACTTGCTTTATGGAGCATGACATTGAAGATAACTTTCTACTTGCAGCATTGTTTTGCTCACTGAGGTATAACATTGTGGAATTTCCTTTTTAATTCCTATGCTTTCTAATGATTTCACTTCCTCATGTCCCTACTTTTTAAAAATGCATTTTCTTTATTATGTCTAATTACAAAAGTATATGAAGCTTTAAAAATGGTTAAAATACTTTGGCTACTAAAGAGAATCTATGTGAGGCAATACAATGTATGTAGCACACAAAGAAATGTAATAAAAGACATCAGATGTAATGGAAATAATGAATCAATCTATAAAAAGCATGGAGATGGGGACAATAAAAATAAAAGATGCACTGCAATCCTAATTCTGCATCAGTCCAAGCATATTATACCCACATAGGAGCAATCGGGACAAAAAAGACAGATCTATGATTTTAAGTCTGGTGAAATTATGTTTTTATAATCTCAGATGTCACATGTATTTTCTTAAATAAAAGACCAGTGGGATTCTTCTTTTTGTGTATCAATATATTTTGCTACAGGGAATATAATAAATTATTAATAAAAATGTGATGAATTGGCCAGATTAGGTAGCTATCATCTTAGAAAATGTTTATGTGATGGCATAAGATTGTTGCCTATAGATTTGGGAGAAAATTTGTTGGCAAAAGTGAACAATGCTGAGTTTTTGTTCATAAGAGGAAAATGGCAAAGCAAAGACAGATATGACAAAAGACCAGCTTGTTTCCATCTCACAATTCCAACTCAGCCAACTCTCTATATAAATATAGGTGATGTTGACATGTAAGATAAACAGCTTTTAATATAGGTATTTTTAAATCAAATTCACAAAAATATAGTGAGAGAGCATCAATAAAATTTTTAAATCTAAAATAATATTTGGTAATTCTATAATTTTTTACTTGAAAATGACCAGTAATATTTTAATAGCTTTACATTTAATATATCTTTATTGGTAATAAACGATCGTGTTACCTGCTGTGAACAACATTTATGTACATTCTGAATAGTGTTTAAATAATTATTTGAGGGGGAATTATTTAAAATTGCTAAGTAGTCAGTGAGTATAAGTAATATGCAATGGAATTTTTGTGAACTGCCTGAAAAATGCAGTGGGATAATATGGTTGTATTGCACTTTATAAATTCCTTTAAAATCAAAATAAAATAATATATATAAAATATAGTATACCAAAAAGATGCAGAAACATAAGAAACTAAAAAATGTTCATATTAACTTAAAAAAACAAAACTTTTTTCCCAGTAAATTTTCACCTTAGTCTACATATGGCAAGGAATAGAGGAAACATTTCTAGCAGTGTGTTCACAGTCCCTTAATCTCCTGAGTTACTTCATGTAATGCATTCTAAAGATTGTAAAATCATACATTTATTTTAAAAAATGGACATTTGGCTAATATTTGTCAAAGATCTAATACCCAGCATCTATAAGGAACTTAAATTTATAAGAGAAAAACAAACAACCCCTTTAAAATGTGGGCAAAGTTCATGAACAGACATTTTTCAAAAGAAGACATGCATGAGGCCAACAAGCATATGAAAAAAGCTCAATAGCCCAGATCATTAGAGAAATACAAATCAAAACCATATGAGATACCATCTTACCCCAGTCAGAATTGCTATTATTAAAAAGTCAAAAAATAACAGATGCTAGAAAGGTTGCAGAGGAAAGGGAACACTTAAATACTGTTGTTGGGAATGTAAATTAGTTCAACCATTGTGGAAAGCAGTATGGCAATTCCTCAAAGAGCTAATAGCAGAACTACCATTTGACCTAGCAATCCCATTACTAGGTATATACCTATAGAAAAATATATCATTCTACCATAAAGACACATGCATGCAAATGTTTATTACAGCACTCTTCGTAACAGCAAAGACATGGAATCAACCTAAATGCCCATCAATGACAGACTGGATAAAGAAAATGTGGTACATATATACTATGGAATAATATGCAGCCATAGAAAAGAGCGAGATCATGTCTTTTGCAGGAACATGAATGGAGCTGGAGGCTATTATCCTTAGCAAACTAATGCAGGAACAGAAAACCAAATACCATATGTTCTCACTTATAAGAAGAAGCTCAATAATAACTTATGAATACAAAGAAGGAAACAGCAGACACTGGGGTCTACTTGAGGGCAGAGGGGAAGGAGAAAGAGGAGCAGAAAAGATAAATATTGAGTACTGAGCTTAACATGTGGGTGATGAAATAATCTGTAAAACAAACCCCCATGACATGAGTTTACCTATATAACAAACCTTCACATGTATCCCCAAACCTAAAAGTTAAAACAAAACAGAACAAAAGCACAAATATGTTTAGATTTGCTTTATACATCACTAAAATTTCAACTACTAATTGTTTCAGGTCACATATCTTTATATTTCTCTTTAATATTTGAATCACTTAAACTACTCATTTATTCAGTTTATGTTTATTGAGTACCTGCTATGGGCCACCACTCTGCTGAGTTCTAGGGCCACAGTAGAGCAAAAAGCCCAAAATACTTCGTCTTTGCCCTGTGGAGCCTTCCATCTAGTAGTGAAGTTAACAATAAAAAAGTAAATTGCTCAAGTAATTATTGAATTATTAATGTAAATAGGAAATATTCAGATTCAAAATTCAATCCTTGTTTTACAACAAAAGCATATTTTATGCTGTCACAGTGGTGTCAGGTAAAAATTACAGCTATAAACTGAACTAAGATCCCAAATCAGGATAAATTATACAAACTCACAGAGGTTTATTATTGAGGCAGTACTGTTTCCAAATTGGATGGTGGCCTGTATCATAACAACCCTTAATCTGACAATGAGTCTATAAACTGGATCAGAAACAAAAATATAAACAGCTTCCTAAAGGCATTGAAGAACAATTAAAGAAGCCAGGAGCTGAAGGGCCAGGATTAGGAAGAGATGCAAAATTCAGGGAAATGTACTAGACATCATTCACTTCTTCTTTCTAAAGCAATGATCCGCAAAGGACTGCAGAGACAAGGCAAAATGTGGGAGCTCAGAACTATCTGGAGTCTCATGCGGATGGTGTTTATTGCTGTCAAGTCATCTAGGATTTGAGGAATCAAGATCTTGCAGAAGGATGTCAGCAAAAATAGTGGGATAAGGATAACCAAAATTCATTGTCTTCTTAACATCAATGAGAAAACCGGTAAAAATACTCAGAATGAACTTTTTTTTCAGAACTCTGAGAATTAACCAAAATATTGCAGCAATTGAGTTAACATTTATTTAAGAATATTATTAAGAATACTGAGTCTTTTTATGTCAATTTTAATGTGCCCTACTTCCATCTGCTTACTCCAGTTCTGTGGCAGCCTCGAAACTAACCCACAATCAGATGGAAACCCGCAGTCTAGCAGCCACTGGAGACAAAACAGGGTTGGATCTTCTTGTGAGTATCATTCTAAGATAATTCCAGAACGTTATTTGACCTGATTTGTAGGTCACACAATGTAAGAAGCTATTTCCCCAAGGTGTTAGTCAAAAAGATTAGAGGCAAGTTTTTAACTCTGTAGTTGCCTGAGGCAGTGAATAACAGTTGGGATAGACAATACAGGTTAACCATGAAGCTTAAAAAGAATAAGGTGTCCATACAATTTACAAAAACATTTGACATATTTCTGAAAATCTAGCAAGCCGTGTATATCTGTAAGGCTATGAGCATGTGCAGGGTTAGGCACACGCTCAGGAAAGACCTGAGCAGGAACTAAGCTTTCGTATTTGGCAGACCTCGAGGCTCAGGACAAGCAAGATTCTACCAGGCAGAGTGTTGAAGGCATGACCAACATACACACAGCCCTTTGGCAAATACTTGGAGACATTTGTTCCAGGTGTTTAAGGAAATCTGTGTCCCATAATTAGCTTACCACTAAGCGAACCAAGAAAGACTTCATTAAGCATGTGTGACAAAAAAATAAATAAAAGCTGTACCAAAGTAATTCATAAAAGTCTCTAAATAAACAACAAACTATAAAATAAACACCAACAAAAACAAAGTTTAGGAGGTTGTAGTTCCATAGCTGCGAGATTTTATTACTTAAAATACTACTTTTAAAAAATATGAGATGAGCAAGGAAACATGAAAGTATAGCCCATACACAGGAACAAAAAAAGGCAATAGAAACTGTGCCTGAAGAAGCACAGATTTTGGATTTACTTAACAAAGACTTTTTAAACCAGTTATTTGAAGTTTGTTCAAAGAACTAACGGAAATCATATCCAAAGGACTAAAAGAAAGTATGAAAAATGTATCTTATTAAAGACAGAATTTAAATAAAGAAATGGATATTATAAAATAGAGCAAAATAACAATTCTGGGATTGAAAAGTACAGTAACAAAAATAAAAGATTTACTAAAGAAGCACAACAGCAGATGTGAGCCTGCAGAAGTAATCCATCAACACTTGAAGGAACTTTTAAAATGTATATTCATAGTGTAAATAATTATTCAACAAAGAGAAGGCATAAACTACAGATAAACACAAAAACATGAATAAATCTCAAAATGTATGCTTAGTAAAAGGAGTCATACTCCAAATAGTGTGTCCTGAATGATTCTATTTATATAAAATTTCTGAATAGGCAAAACTGACAATAGAAACCACATCATTGGTTATCTAGAACTAGGGTAAGATATTCTTTGCAAAGAGGCATGAGGAAACATTTTTGAAGGAATAGAAATGTTCTGCATTTCGCCATGTCTGTAATCCAAGCACTTTGCGGGGCTGAGGCAGCAGGATCACTTGAGCCCAGGAGTTCCAGATCAGCCTGGGCAACATAGTGACACCTCATCTCTACCAAAATAAACAATGTTAGCTGGGCATGGTGGCTCGCACCTGTAGTCCTAGCTATTCCAGAGGCTGAGGTGGGAGGATCCCTTGAGCTCTGGAAGTTGAGGCTGAAGTGAGCTGTGATTGAGCCCCACTGCACTCCAGCCTGAGTGACACAATGAGACCTTATAGTATGTGTCAAAATTTATTGAACTGTTTTGAAACTTTTACACATCTGATTAAAATTGATTAAAATGCATGCAAATTAAAAAAACACATATTTTATATAAATACACAAATCCCAATAAATATAGTATGTTAAAATATACTCTGCAGTGTGTGTGTGTGTGTGTGTGTGTGTGTGTGTGTGTGTGTGTGTGTGTATGGTACTGGGGAATTAAAATAAAAGAGAATGAGCAATTAAATAAGAGATGAGCTTTCTATGGGCAATGATGGTTATTTATCAAGAGGCGAAGAATGTAATTAACTCAACCCCCCATATCTGTAGTCCGAAAGAAGAAAAAATTACACTTATTGCATTGTAAATGTTTAAAAACATTTTCCGTATATTATGATGTTTTGATATTTTAAAAACCCTTTCTGGCTAGAGAGACTGCTCCTTTCAGGACTAGCCAATTCTTACAAGTAACAAAAGGCCTACTCAGAAGCATGTCTTTGATATGGAAACTAAATAATCCAGAGCTATACCTCCTCAATCTGGCCCTTACACCCCAGAAGACAATATTCCTCTGCCTTAATCAACCCAGGGCCAGGTACCAGGCAGCTAGAGACCTCCATATCTACAATCCAAAACCCTCTGAAATTATTCAGATCCCTCAATCCAAAATTATTCACCCTGCCCTGCCTTGCCTTTTCAGCAGAATCCCCAATAAAGGCAATGGCCTAAACCTTTCCCTTATTTCTGTCTTTGTTTCTTCCTCCTAAGAATCTTGGTGTCTTCCCCACGTGGTTATGTGGGGACGTGCTCTGCCTGTGATTCTTGTCTCTTGTACCTGTAAATATAATCAACTTTGTTTTTTCCTGAACCTCTACTCTGTCTCCTCTTGAGTGAGGAAAATAGTGTTTGTAGGCAGGGAACATAAGGCCGATTCACACTTCAGCTATAACAGGAAATGTTCTCTCCACATGGCGTAGGCCGTAAATGATTCTGTAACTTTACTTCATCCTCTCCATTTACATAGGGCGTACCCAAAGTAACCAATGGAATCCTCTAGGGTGTATTTAAATTCCCAAAATTTCTGTAACGGGGCCTTTGAGCCCCTATGCTCATGCCTGCTCCCACACTGTGGAGTGTACTTTCATTTTCAACAAATCCTTTCATTCCTTCCTTGCTTTGTTTGTGTGTTTTGTCCAATTCTTTGTTCAAGATGCCAAGAATCTGGTCACCCTCCACCATTAACACTCTGGTGGCCACACCTAATTGACCACTTCATAAAACAATAACAAAACACTTACCTAGTGAGTGATGTGCCAATCCATGCACTAATGCTGAGGTTAGCTGCCTACATTGAGCAGATAGTTAAACAACAGATATACACTTTATATGGATAATATTTAATAAATAATTATGATTACTTAAATAATTGCACAGCTATACATTTCTGAGAAGAAGAAATACATAAGGCAAAGGAAACACAACACAGAGATGAAGGATCTGGGTGCAGTGAGATAAAGCTTCCCTGTGAAAGTGATGTTTAAGTTGAGACATTAAATGAGTAGACTTAGCTAAGTAAATAGAGGCAAAGAGGTTTCCATGTAGAGCAAATAATATGTGCTTTGATATGGTTCCTCATAATTGCTCATGTCGATCTTTTAGATTACTAATTTGGTGTTCAGTGGTGTACATTTGAATTTTTGGAGCTTTTATTGGCTGTTTTAAATTTTGATTAATAATGCTTTATTATAGTTATTTGTGAGAGTATATTCTGTTGTTTATATTTCTCCTTTTCTGTAGTAGCCTGATTTTTTAATTGATACAAATGACATGAATATTTTACTAAATCTTGCATTTCACATGTGATAAAACAGAACTACAGGTGATATAACCTATGTTCAGGTTGGCTATGTTTTTCTGCTCTATAGTAACAGCAGTTTTTAGAATAATTTATTTGATTCATAATAAGTAACTGATATTAAGGAACGATTTGATGAGTAAAAGCAAAGTACATATTTTAACTGTGCTCTTCTGCTCCTAATTTCTTGTATTGAGAAATAATATATGTATTCAGGATCTGTATCAGTCTTTTGAGATTTTGAAGGAGAGAAAAATTCTGTACTATAAATGAAAAGTATTATGTACTCTTCAAGTGAAATTGTATTAATTTATGTACCCATATTACCTAAATCTACAGCTACATATACATGTATCCATGAGTAATTTTTAATATAATAAAATAAGATTTAAAATTATTGTGTTTGACCTTTTTCCAAATAACTTATAAAACTATGCAGTAGCGATAGCAAAGCCAATTCAACTTAATTTACTGTAATCATAAGTTATTTAATTAATTAATTGTTCTACAGTTGCACTAAATCAGTTTTAAGTGATTCTATTAAAATATGCCATAAAGAGACTATGCCAGATTTTGACAGTTTCTGCTGTCCAATCTTTAACCAACACATAGAGATATGCATTGGAGTCTCTCTCAGAATAGAAAGACACAAACAAAATAATTGAACATTGTTTAGTGAATGTTTATATTTTCTTGCTGAAATTTTTAAATAAATGAAAAGTAACTATGCTGAGTACTGATTTTATTTCTAATGTTCTCAGCGGAATAATCATTAATTTTGCATTATTGTTAAAAAGACACCCTCTTTTCTCTGAAAATGTAAATTCTTCCACTATCCCTGCAGAGGAAACCAAAGGTTACACCTCCACTTCATTTATTGTAGCATTTTTTTCTCAGCAGAATTTTGTGTGTATTTGTCAATATGGTTGTAAGACAATACAGATAAGAGGCATTCGGTGTACAAGGGTAGCAGTGAGTCTTAAGCATATGTAAAGTTTACGATATCAATTTATATAATAACAATAGTGATGCTTTGGGGCTTCTACGGAATGCAGAGATGGAGCTGGTGGTTTTATATGCATTTGCTCTCACCTTTAACAAAGTTCTACATTTTAAATTCCCTTATACAGATGAATCAGTAGAGAAACAGTTGCACTGATCAGTCTAAGACCGTGAATCTAGAATATGAGATATTCATGTTATTTCCACTAGTCTTTGATAATTATCACCTAAAAAGGTACAGGGAATCTGGACTTAAAGAATAAATAGCTAATTTTTATGTTTATTTCAGTGAAAGAAGAGAGATTCTAGATATCACTTATATGTTTTCCCCTTACTGCTTCTTACTAATGGAACGTGTTTGTTTTGGTGCCACACAGTTCTGGTCAATGAGAAGTAAGCAGATATCTACACACCAGCTAGCATATCCATTTTAACCTTTACTCTTTGGATTAGTTTTGTAGGATTGCCATAACAGTGTACCATAGCCTGGGCAAGCTTAAATAACAGAAGTTATTTTTCTCACAGTTCTGGAGTCTACAAGTCAAAATCAAGGTGTCAGTGGAGTTGGTTTCCTCTGTGGTCTCTCTGTTGGCTTGTAGATGACCATCTTCTCCCTGTGTCTTCATATTGTTTGACCTGTGCTTGTATCTGTATCCACATTCCCTCTTCTTATCAGTACACCAGTCACATTGGATTACAGTTCACCTAACGACCACGTTTTGACTTAATTACCTCTCTAAAGACCCAAACTCCAAATATGGTTGCATTCTGAAGTACTGGAGGTTAGGATGTCAACACATGAATTTAAGAGGGTAATACAGTTTAGACTATAACACTCTTTTTCTTTTCCTGGAGGTAGATTATCAATGTTTCAACTATGAGAATAAAATTCAATGTTAAGGAGAGTGGATCAAGATGTTCCATTCCTAATAGTGCTCTAAAGGCCCATTGTCAACTATTTCATCTAATTCACCTTTCCAAAAGATTATTATTGGCTTGGCGCGGTGGCTCACGCCTGTAATCCCAGCACTTTGGGAGGATGAAGCAGGCGGATCACGAGGTCAGGAATCGAGACCAGCCTGACCAACATGGTGAAACCCCATCTCTACTAAAAATACAAAAAATTAGCTGGGCATGGTGGCAGGCACCTGTAGTCCCAGTTAGTCGGGAGGCTGAGGCAGGAGAATGGCGTGAACCTGGGAGGTAGAGCTCGCAGTGAGCCAAGATCGTGCCACTGCACTCTAGCCTGGGCGACAGAGCGAGATTCCGTCTCAAAAAAAAAAAAAAAAAAAGATTATTATTGTGTTAATTCATCATTTATTTCCTACTTTCTATATAGTACCAATCAATATGTTAGCTGTTGGAGTCAGTTCATTACAAAATTTTCTCTAACCTAAAGAATCTTGGAATCTAGATTCTGTTTAGAAAATAGCAAATTCACAGAAATATATCTTCCCCGCTGTTTATCTCTCTGTACTATGCTGTTTCATAAGGGGCTAGCATTTAATCTTTTCTTAATTTAGGCCCTATGGATAAGATTGCAAGGTTTTCACAATTTCACTAAAGTTGTATGCTAAAGCATGTATGTGTGTGATTTTTGAGGAGCTATGATCCATAAATTTTATGTCCTCTTATTGATTAATGACCTAAATTATAACAATTACTGTAGCAGATAAGATATGTCTCAAATCTCTAATCTACCTACCACCAATCTCTCCCCAGCCACCACCCACCATGCACATTATAGGACATTGATGGTTATTATTGGGCAGTTTATTTTCTGACTCATATCCTCCATGTACAGTAAGATACTAGTTCCCTGGTAAATGTAATAGCCTTTGCTAACCATACTGTGTGATAATATTCAACATTAATGTACAGAATTTTTCCTTGCCCATGATTGCATGACACACTCTTCACCAAAACACACAGTCCAAATTCTTTACAAAAGACACTGATGCTTACCAGAGGAAACTAACAAATGTGTCTCAAAAGTGGGCAGTAAATAACAACAACAACAACAATAACAATAATAATAATAATAATAAATCAACAATCTAAAGAGCCAACCACAAAGTTTATGTAGACACAAGATGATGGTGAGGGCAAATTGGCAGAAAATTTTGGTATTGAAATGATCTAATTCTGAAATTGTGGTTACCTAAAGTCTATTTCTAAATAGAAATAAGTAGGAACCTTCTCCATATGTGAAGAAGGCACCTGCTTCCCCTTCACCTTTCACCACATTTTTAAATTTCCCGAGGTGTCCCCAGCCATGTAGAACTGTGAGTCAATTAATCTCTTTCGTTTACAAATAACCCAGTCTCAGGTAGTATTATTTACAGCAGCATGAAAATGAAATAATTCAGAGAGTTGGTACTTGGAGTAGGGCACTGCTATAAAGATAACCTAAAAAATGTAGAAGTGACTTTGGAGCTGGGTAACAGACAGAGGTTGAAACAGTTTGGAGGGCTCAAAAGAGGACAGGAAAATGTGGGAAAATTTGGAACTTTCTAGAGATTTGATAAATGGTTTTGACCAAAATGCTAATAGTGATAATGAACAATGAAGTCCAGGCTGAGGTGTTCTCAGATGGAGATGACAGACGTATTGGAACAGGAGAAAAGCTCACTCATGCTATGCTTTAGCAGAGAGACTGGTGGCATTTATCCCCTGCCCTAGAGATTTGTGTAAATTTGAACTTCAGAGACATGATTTAGGGTATCTGGTAGAATAAATTTTTAAGCAGCAAAGCATTCAAGAGGTGACCTGCTTTATTCCAAAAGTGTTCGGTTATATGCTTTCACAAAAAGATAGTTGGAAATTGGAACTTATGCTTAAAAGGGATGCAGAGTCTAAAAGTTTGGAAAATTTGCAGCCTAATTATGTGGTAGAAAAGAAAAAACACATTTTATGGGAAGAAATTAAAGCACAGTGCAGAAATTTTCATAAGTAAAGAGGAGCTGAATGTTAATAGCCAAGGCAATAGGGAAAATACCTCCAAGACATTTCAGAGAACTTTGCAGTAGATCCTCTTACTACAGGCCTAGAAGCCTCAGAGGGAAAAATGGTTTTCTGGGGCAGGACTAGAGCCCCACTTCTCTGTGTAGGCTTAAGACATAACACTCAGCATCATGGCTGCTCCAGCTTCAGCCACGGCTAAAAGGGGCAAAGGTACAGGTCCAGTCATTGCTTCAGAGGGTGCAAGCCCCAAGCCTTGGTGGTTTCCATGTGGTTTTGGGCCTGCAGGTGTGCAAAAAGCAAGAGTTGAGACCTGGGAACCTCTACCTAGATTTCAGAGGACGTATGGAAAGGCCTGGATGTCCAGGCAGAAGTCTGCTGCAGGGGCAGAGCTTTCATGAAGAACCTCTACTAGGGCAATGCAGAGGGGAAATGTGGGCTTGGAGCCCCCAGATAGAGTCTCCACTGGGGCACTGCCTATTGGAGCTGTGAGAAGAGAGCCACTACCCTCCAGGCCCCAGAATGGTAGATCCACCAACAGCTTGTATTATGTGCTTGGAAAGGCCACAGGCACTCAATGCCAGCTCTTGAAAGCAGCTTCAGGGGCTGTACCCTGCAGAGCTACAGGTGCAGAGCTGCTCAAGGCCTTGGGAGCCCATCCCTTGCTTCAGTGTGCCCCAGAAGTGAGACAAGGAGTAAAAGGAGATTATTTTGGAGCTTCAAGATTTAATGAGTACCCTGCCAGATTTTGTACTTGCATGGGGTCAGTGGTCCCTTAGTTTTGGCCAATTTCTCCCATTTGGAACAGGAACATTTACCCAATGGCTGTAGCCCCATTGTATCATGGAATTAACTAACTTGGTTTTGGTTTTACAGGCTCGTAGGTGGAAGGGACTTGCCTTATCTCAGATGATAAGGATTTAGGACTTAGACTTTTGAGTTAATGCTGGAGTGAGTTAAGACTTTGGGGGACTATTGGGAAGGCATGGTTTTAAAATGTGAATAAAACCTGAGATTTGAGAAGGACCAGGGTTGGAATGATATGGTTTGGCTCTGTGTCCCCACCCAAATCTCATTTCCAATTTTAATCCCCACATGTTGAGGGAGAGACATGGTAGAAGGTGACTGAGTCATGGGGCAGTTTCCCCAAAGCTATTCTCATGATAGTGAAGGATTTCTCATGAGATCTGATGGTTTTTAAAGTGGCAGTTTCTCCTGCTCTTTCTCTTTCTCCTGCTGCCATGTAAGATGTGCTTGCTTCTCCCTTACCTTCCACCATGATTGTATGTTTCCTGAGGTCTTCCCAGCCATGTGTTACTGTGAGTCAATTAAACATCTTCTATTTATAAATTACCCCATCTCAGGTAGTATGTTTATAGCAGTGTGAGAGCAAACTAATACATCTAGTGTCATGAAAGATGGCTTTAACTTCCAAGTAAATATGAAAATCTTTAATAATGATGGAGAAGGATCCAGTAAAAGACAGTGAAATTGACCACTTTGGGAGTCTTACTCTGTCACCGGTAAATCATACTTAAATATTTATTTATACATTTATTTATTTATCAATATGTAAAAAACGAAATAATGTGTCAGTTGCCACAGTTTGAATGAACAGATTTCTTTGAACATGACTTTATATAACTAGGATCTCCTCCTAAATTATTTTGCCTAAGATCCATCTGACTATAGAAATTTTTCTCTACTCATACATGTGTCAAATATTGACACCTTATGGAAATTTCTGTTTATATGGGTGCATATGGATGCAATATTTCCAAAGAGACAGGGTCTAGACACAGATGTTGTATATTTTTATACCTGGGTGACATTGCTCATTCTGCACCCTCAGCCTTAAATTACTTGCCTTAACCAATTCAAATTTACTTATTGTTAGTGGATCATAAAAATGCCATGTGCTCTACAAGTTCTTCTTTAACAATACCAATATGAATCAGTTTCTCATTCCTCTGTACTTTTAAATACATTGGGTATTCCTTTATAATATCAGATCTTATTTTGCTGTATACTAGAGCTAGTTCTTTTATTAGTTGTGATATCCTTGAGAGCAGAAAGCTTGTCTTATTTATTTTCCAGTATCTAAGTGCTTTTTAAGTATCAAATATTTAATGACAGGCCTTGAGTATAAAAGATACTCAGTAGAATAAAATGAAATAAGATTTAAAATTTAAGAAATAAATAATTGACTGACTTGATAGATTGATGGATGGTTGAATGGAGACAGGATGGATAGATAAATAAGTCAACTCACAAACAAAAAGTCTGTTGTGAGTTACGGGAACAAAAAGTTCCCTTAACTTATAAAATAGTAAGATGATTTAATTTTTTTCATTAACCTATTGTAGATATATTATGATTATTTCATTGAAATGAACTATTTAAGAGCTCAGTGGAAGATCTGTTACTATACATTCTACATGCATGACCTTCCCAGCAGGATTTGCCTGTCATGACAATGTCCCAATATTTATAGTTTAGCTGTGCTCTAAAACTTTATTTATTCATTTATTTAGGTATCACCTACAGCTAATTTAGCAGAACGTTGTGAAAAATTCTTCAAGAAATAAAATGCACTGTATATGGTATTTCTGCATTTCATTTGTATGAAATGTTGGTGACATTAATGCTTTGCTTTAAAAGCTTTTTGTGTGGCCTGGACATTAACATTGTATAAGCAGATCTCACACTGGTCAGAATCCCTAATGGCAGGCTATTGTGAGAGGCAGAAGTATGAAACTCTTCAAAGTGACTTTGAAGCACAGCTTCCGGTACTGAAGTACTAATGAAGGGGACTAGAAAAGGATTAAGGTTGATATTCCAGTTTCAGGAACAGTGCTACTTGTATACATCTACTTCTGAAAGGACTTATATTGAACACAACTCATAAAAGTAGATGATTGTTGAGATGGATAGACATAGCATTTAACTTGAAGATGCTCTTGTCAATTTACTTCTACCACTACTGCTACTACTACCACCACTACTACTACTACTGCTACAATGACAATGATAACAACAATGACAATGATGATGACTGTTAATACTGCTACCGCTTATGCTAATATTATTATTGTTGACCTAATATTACTAACAGTAGTTGTACCTAGCATCTATTTAGCATTTACTGTGTCAAGCACTTTACTAACATATTACATACAAGATCAATTTTTGTCCCAATAACTTTGTGAGGTAGCTATTATTAACCACATTAATGTACAAAGACATTGAGGCTTAGAGAGAATACATTTTTAATACTATTATAGCTAATGAGTTGCAAAACCTTCTGACACTAAGGCAAAATTTCTTAAGAAGTCTAGTCATGGTCTTTGCCTAGTCATGTCTTGAGTTAATTTTTGTATGAGGTGTAAGGAAGGGGTCCAGTTTCAGTTTTCTGCAAATGGTTAGCCAGTTTTCCAAACACCATTTATTAAATAGGGAATCCTTTCCCCATTGCTTGTTTGTGTCAGGTTTGTCAAAGATCAGATGTTTGTAGATGTGTGGCATTATTGCCGAGGACTCTGCTCTGCTCCATTGGTCTATATATCTGTTTTGGTACCAGTGCCATGCTATTTTGGTTACCATAGCCTTGTAATATAGTTTGAAATCAGGTAGTGTGATGCCTCCAGCTTTCTTCTTTTTGCTGAGAATTGTCTTGGCTATATGGGTTCTTTTTTGGTTCCATATGAAATTTAAAGTAGTTTTTTCCAATTCTGTGAAGAAAGTCAATGGTAGCTTGATGGGGATAGCATTGAATCTATAAATTACTTCGGGCAGTATGGCTATTTTCACAATATTGATTCTTCCTATCCATGAGCATGGAATGTTTTTCCATTTGTTTCTGTCCTCTCTTATTTCCTTGAGCAGTGGTTTGTAGTTCTCCTTGAAGAGGTCCTTCACATCCCTGGTAAGTTGTATTCCTAAGTATTTTATTCTCTTTGTAGCAATTGTGAATGGGAGTTCACTCATGATTTGGCTCCCCATTTGTCTATTACTGGTACATAGGAAAGCTTGTGAGTTTTGCACATTTATTTTGTATTCTGAGACTTTGCTGAAGTTGCCTATCAGCTTAAGGAGATTTTGGGCTGAGACAATGGGATTTTCTAAATATACAGTCATGTCATCTGCAAACAGAGACAATTTGACTTCCTCTCTTCCTATTTGAATATGCTTTATTTCTTCCTCTTGCCTGATTGCTCTGGACAGAACTTCAAATACTATGTTGAATAGGAGTGTGGAGAGAAGGGATCCTTGTCCTGTGCTGGTTTTCAAAGGGAATGCTTCCAGCTTTTACTCATTTAGTATGATATTGGCTCTGGGTTTGTCATAAATAGCTCTTATTATTTTGACAAACGTTCCATCAATACCTAATTTATTGAGAGTTTTTAGCATGAAGGGGTGTTGAATTTTCTCAAAGGCCTTTTCTGCATCTATTGAGATAATCGTGTGTTTTTTTGTGATTAGCTCTGCTTATGTGATGGATTACATTTATTGATTTGCATATGTTGTGACAACAAAAGCCAAAATTGACAAATAGGGTCTAATTAAACTAAAGAGCTTCTGCACAGCAAAAGAAACTATCATCAGAGTGAACAGGCAACCTACAGAATGGGAGAAAATTTTTGCAAACTATCCATCTGACAAATGGCTAATATCCAGAATCTACAAGGAACTTAAACAAGTTTACAAGAAAAAAACAAACAACACCATCAAAAAGTGGGAGAAGGATATGAACAGACACTTCTCAAAATAAGACATTTATGTGGCCAACAAACATGAGGAAAAGCTCATCATCACTGATCATTAGAGAAATGCAAATCAAAACCATCCCCATAATGAGATACCATCTCACACCAGTTAGAATGGCGATCATTAAAAAGTCAGGAAACAAGAGATGCTGGAGAGGAGTGAAGAAATAGGAACACTTTTACACTGTTGGTGGGAGTGCAAATTAGTTCAACCATTGTGGAAGACAGTGTGGCGATTCCTGAAGGATCTAGAACGAGAAATACCATTTGACCCAGCAGTACCATTACTGGGTATATACCCAAAGGATTATAAATCATTCTACTATAAAGACTGACACACATTTATGTTTGTTGCAGCACTATTCACAGTAGCAAATACTTGGAACCAACCCAAATGTCCATCAATGACAGACTGGATAAAGAAAATGTGGCACATATACACCATGGAATACTATGCAGCCATAAAAAAGGATGACTTCATGTCCTTTGCAGGGACATAGATATAACTGGAAACCATTATTCCTAGCAAACTAACACAGGAACAGAAAACAAAACACCGCATGTTCTCACTCGTAAGTAGGAGTTGAACAATGAGAGCACATGAACACAGAGAGGGGAACATCACACACCGGGGTCTGTCAGTGGGTGGGAGGCTAGGGGAAGGATAGCATTAGGAGAAATACCTAATGTAGATGATGGGTTGATGGGTACAGCAAACCACCATGGCATGTGTATAACTATGTAACAAACCTGCACATTCTGCACATGTATCCCAGAACTTATAGCATATATATACATAAAAAGTAAGTCTACAGCCAGGTTTTTTTTTAATGTTAATAGTACACATACACATATTAATGATGAAGGTAATTTCATCTCCAAATGGCCAGTTAATAAGAACAGTACTAAATAATTATAAACCCTCGATTTGGCCTTAACACACTACCAAAAATAGATACCCAAGAAGAGCATAACCAATGCTTTTCTTGGGTTAATTTATTTTGTGCTTTTTTTGTTTTCTTTGAACATAAATCTGTGAATTTTAATTAAAACAAGAATACATTATGGCAATTAAAATAAAATTGCATGGAGTAAAAAAGTTAAATCATCTCTTGATGATCTCTACAATGTCTCTTGCCTATGTAATCTTTAAGAGATCATGTATTCTCCCATTCCTGTTACTTAGTTTTAAATGCCATATATTAATAAAATGTCTTTTTCTCTGGCACAGAAAGACAAGTGCTGAATAATCTTATTTATCTGTAGAATGTAAAAAAGTCAAATTCATAGAAACAGAGAGTAAAATGATGGTTACCAGGAGCTGAAGATTGAAGAAAATTAAAAGATGTTGTTCAAAGGACACAAAATTTCCGTCAGACAGGAGGAATAAGTTCAAGAGATCTTTGTGCAAGATGGCAACTATAGTTAATAACAATATATTTTATATTTGAAAATTGCTGAGAGATTTTAAGTGTTCTCACTATAAAAAAATAGTGAGAGGTAATGTATATATTAAAAAGCCTGATTTAGCCATTCTGCATTGTATACATATACTAAAACATCATGTAGTATACCACAAATACATACAATTTTTACTCATTAATTTGAAAAAAATCAATTCTTTGCTAAAGGTAGTTGAATTTTTAAAAGCAAAATTGGCCTGATGGAGTGGCTCACATCTGTAATCCTAAAAAGCAATTTGGGAGGCTGAAGCAGGAGGATCACTTGAGCCCAGTAGTTTGAGACCAGCCTGGGCAACACAGTGAGATCCAGTCTCTACAAAAAAATAAATAAATAAATAAAAATTAGCTGGATGTTGTGGTGTGTGTCTGCGGTCCAGGCTACTCTGGAAGCTGAGGTGGGAGGATTGCTTGAGCCCAGGAGGTTGAGGTTGCAATGGGTCATGATCGTGCCACTGCACTTCAGCCTGTGTGACAGAGTGAGACCCTGTCTCAAAAAAAAAAAGAATATATATATATATATATATTTTAAATACTTTAAAAAGTTTGATTGCCCTATGCATATTTTATCAATTTTTAAAATGTACTACATAGCAAGAAGATTTTTCCATATCATTACATATAAATTTAATTCATTTGTTTTAATAACCGAGTAGTTATTCTGTACCATAATTGTACCATTATTTATTCTAAAATTATATCATTAATGGACACCAAGAATGGGCACTTCTTTTTGCCAATATAGATAATGCTGTAATTAACATCCTTGGGCTTAAGTACTTGAGCTTTTGTTTCTGTTAGAGACAGTCCTAGAATTTAGAATTGCTGGTTAAAAGTATATGCATTTTAAAGTTTAATAGATACTGCCACATTAACTACAATTGTAATTGCAACTAACATGTTTCCCAGTAACAGATGAAAGTTCTAATTTCTCCACATATCCATAAACATTTGATGTTATCAACATCTATGTTTTGACAGATTGATTGCATTTGCTTTATAAAAAATCATATAGAGATCATTTGTCTCCTGATGATCCCTGATAATGAACCACTTTTTCCTTCCCTTAAGTGGTTTACAATTTAATTTTAGAGAAAAATGTTTATAAACTATTAAGAGTTATAATGTTTGTGGTGGAGATACTTTTGCAGTGGAGGGCCAGGGTTACATTGACATATGGGTGGAGTTGTTGAGTTTACATTATTTAGTTCAGGTTCCCAGCCAAAAGGTGACACACAAAATTGCAGTGAACAATCCAACTCTCTTTTCTGAAATAATCAGATAAATACTTATTTTGAGAGGAAACAAAACCAATAAGCATTTTGTGATCTGTGGTAGGCAAACCATGATTGTGAAATTCCACAGTGCTTTATTTGTCACAGTGAAAAACCCTCATTGTGTTTTTTTCATCATGTCTTGACTGAGGTTTGTTGCAACTCTATCAGTGGAATAATTGTTGTAATAATTAAGAATCTTGAGTTATTTTCCTATCTCTACCACAGCTTGATGCATAATTTTAAACAGGTTACTACTTCTCAATTGCCTTAAGTTTTTACATTTAGGCTTCTTAATTACATTAAACACACCTTTAGTTTTAGTAAGGATATATATATATATATAGTGTATAAATATATATATATAGTGTATAAATATATGTATATATATAGTTTTAGTAGGGATATATATATATAGAAATATATGTATTTAGGGATTATATATAGTTTTAGTAGGGATATATATGTGTGTATGTGTGTAGTGTGTGTGTGTATATATATATATATATATATATATATATATATACACACACACACACAGAACTCTATCTCTTTTTTTTTTGAGACGTAGTCTCGCTCTGTTGCCTAGGCCGGAGTTCAGTGGCACAATCTCGGCTCACTGCAAGCTCCGCCTTCCAGGTTCACGCCATTCTCCTGCCTCAGCCTCCTGAGTAGCTGGGACTACAGGCACCCACCACCATGTCCGGCTAATTTTTTGTATTTTTAGTAGAGATGGGGTTTCACCGTGTTAGTCAAGATGGTCTCGAACTCCTGACCTTGTGATCCCCCCGTCTCGGCCTCCCAAAGTGCTGGGATTACAGGCATGAGCCACTGCGCCCGGCCCAGACCTCTATCTCTTCAATAATAAACGGTCACAATATTGCACAGATAATCCAACCACTGGAAAGAAGTTCTAAATGGTCAAATTGGTGACTCTGAAATATAAGGATGGAGAAAATGAAAATGTATGTCTTCAGAGTTTGTGATTCTAACATGATTATCCTGGAGCAAGTACTATGTATACTGATTTTGGAAATTAAGTATAGCAATTAGGGTTTAATGTTAAGAAAATTTGTGTTGTAGTTATGATACTGGCTATTTAGCAGTGTAAAGTTAGGTAAATAATATATTAGTGAGAATGCTTTCTGTTTCATGAATCAGAAACCCTAACTCAAAGTGCTTTAAACAAAGACACAGAGGCCGGGTGCGGTGGCTCACTCCTGTAATCCCAGCAGTTTAGGAGGCCGTGGTGGGTAGATCACCTGAGGTCAGGAGTTCCAGACCAGCCTGACCAACATGGAGAAAGCCCGTCTCTACTAAAAATGCAAAATTAGCCAGGTGTGGTGGTGCATGCCTGTAATCCCAGCTACTTGGGAGGCTGAGGAAGGAGAATCGCTTGTACCTGGGAGGCAGAGGTTGCGGTGAGCTGAGATCATGCCATTGCACTCCAGCCTGGGCAACAAGAGCAAAACTCCATCTCAAAAAAAAAAAAAAAGACAGAAAGACACAAATATGTTGGCTCATGATGAATGTATAGTTAAATAGTTGACATAGTTTTCTTAAATGCTTGATTCAGTGTTCACATAATTTTACCTGGATGGGGTTTTCTTTCTATTTTATGGCTCTACTTAAGTATTGGTCTATTTATAAGTAGCACATAGTCACAAAATGACTGCAGCAAATACACTTCCTCTGTGGTCTCTTTCACATCTAGCAAGGAATAAGTAATTCATTTTTTCTGATAGTTAAAAAAATTGAGACTGGACCCAACTGGCTTAACTTGTGTCATGCTCCTGTCCCTCAAGTAACCATTTTGCTAGATGGAAATAGAAAACTTTAGTTAGATTCACTTGAGTCACATGCTGTACCCAAGAAAGCTGGGTAAAGATGCAATGTCTCCAGAAGCATTATACCTGAGAGCACACAAAGGCCCCTAGAAGGTGGAATATTCAAAAAAGCAGTTGTACCATACAGTTAGAAAGAAATGAAGTCTTTCTGACACCTTCAAAACCAGGTACTTTAGTCACCCACTTGTTTTTTGGTTCTTACAAAGGTGCTTTCTTGTATTGATGGTTGTCCAATTTGATGTTTCTGTGACAGGAATCACCAATGGAGAGTTTTATCCAAGTAGATCCAATATAACAACAAGGGACTTTAAGTGGGAAAGACAGAGGCACAGGAGTCAGAATCAGAGAGACAACATCATGAGAAAGATTAGACTGGCCATTGTTGGTTTTGAAGATGGAAGGGGGCCAAGATTCCTTGGCTCATGGCCCTTGAGTAAACATTAGCAGTAGCCAGGTAGTAGTTGCCACAGACCTTGGACAAGACTTAGTACTGTTCTGGCTTCCGGTGTGACCCAGTGCATTCCCAGCTGTGGTGGCCATGGGGAGTGACTCTTTTTGCTTGAGGAAAACTGAAGGAAGAGTAAAAAGGACTTTGTCTTGCCACTTGGGTATCAGCTCAGCCACAGTAGAATAATGCATCAAGCAAACTCCTAAAGTCTGTGATTCCAGGCCTTAGTTCCTGGATGGGATTTTTAGACCCACTCTGGGCCAGAAGAAAATTTGCTGCCTTGCAGGAAAATAGCTAGACCTTGCAGGATTCAAAACCAGCTGACTAAAGAGCCCTTGGATTTTGTATAAACATTAGTGGTAGCCAGGTGATAATTGCCATAGGCCACGGGCAGTGCTGGCCATAATGAGAGATACCTTCAGCTTGAGAAAGGAGATGAAAATGTAAAAAGAATTTTGTCTTGCAACTTGGGTACCAGAAAGGCCACAGTAAAATAAAGCACCTGGCAGCTTCCTAAAACCCATAATTCCAGGCCGGGTGCAGTGGCTCATGCCTGTAATCCCAGCACTTTGGGAGGATGTGGTGGGTGGATCACGAGATCAGGAGATCGAGACCATCCTGGCCAACATGGTGAAACCCCGTCTCTACTAAAAATACAAAAATTAGCTGGGTGCAGTGTTGCATGCCTGTAATCCCAGCTACTTGGGAGGCTGAGGAAGGAGAATCCCTTGAACCAGGAAGTCGGAGGTTGCAGTGAGCCAAGATCGCGCCACAGCACTACGGCCTGGCAACAGAGCGAGACTCTGTCAAACAAACAAACAAACAGACACCATAATTTCAGTCCCTAGGTATTGGATAGCATTCCTAGACTCACTCTGGGCCAAAAGGAAACCTGCTACCCCAAAAGAAAAGACTCAGTCCTAGCAGAATTCACCACCTGCTGAGTAAAAAGCCCTTGATCTTTGAATAAACATCACTGGTAGCCAGGCAGTGGTCATCACAGGCCTTGGAAAAGACCCAGTATTGTGCTACCGTCAGATTTAACCCAGAACAGTCTTAGAAGTGGTGGCCAGAGGAGTGCTTGCATTATACCCATGTCCTACCACCAACTCCAGGCAGCTCAGCACAGAGAGAGAGACTCCATTTGTTTGGGGAAAAGTAAAGGAATCGAACAATATACTTTGCTTGGTAATCCAGAGAATTATCTTACCCAGGATCATCAAGGTGGTACTTCTATGAGTCCAAAAGAATCACAGTGATACAGGGCTTGGGAGACCTTTTTGTGCATATATGGCCACAGTGACCAAAGACTTAGATCACAACACTCAATATTCTTTTAGTACTTAGAAAGCTTTCTCCAAAAGGATGAATTCAAACAAGCCCAGACTGTGAAGATTGGAATAAATACCTAATTCTTCAATGTTCAGACATTAGTGAACACGCACAAGCATCAAAATCATCCAGGAAAACATTACCTCTACAAATGAACAAAATAAGTCACCAAATGAACAATCTCAGAGTGACAGAGATGTGTGCTCTGTCACACAGAAGAAATTCAGAATCTTATCAGGTAAATTTAACAAAGATATATAATCAAGCAGAAATTCTATAGTTGAAAAATACAATTACTGCACTGAAGAATGCATCAGAGTCTCTTAGTAGCAGAACTGATCAAGCAGAAGAAAAAATTAGTGAGCTTGAAGGCAGGCTATTTGAAACTACAGCATCAGAGGAGACAAAAGAAAAAAGAATAAGAAAGAATGAAGCATGCATAGAAAATCTAGAAAATAGCCCAAAATGGCAAATCTAAGAGTAATTGGTGTAAAGAGGAGATAGAGCGAGCTCAGGGTAGAGAGATTATTCAAAGAGATAATGACAAGGAACTTTCCAAACCTAGAGAAAGATATCAATATTCAAATACAAGAAAATTATAGAACACCAATCAGATTAAACTAAAATAAGACTACATCAAGACATTTCATAATCAAACTCCCAAAACTCAAGGATAATCAAAGGATACTAAAAGGATACTGAAAGCTTCCAGAGAGAAGACAAAAATAACGTGTAAGGGAGCTGTAATACATCTGGCAACAGACTTCACAGTGGAAACCTAACAGGCCAGGATAGAGTGGTATGAATTATTTAAAGTGCTGAAGGAACTTCAGCACTATATATATGAGACAGAGTCTCGCTATGCTGCCCAGGCTGAACTCAAACTCCTGGCCTCCAGGAATCTTTCTACCTTTGCATCCAAAAGTACTGGGAGTGCAGGCATAAGCCCCTATGTCTGGCCTTTGATGGAAATAAAATTTATTTTAGAATATTATAGCCAGTAAAAATAGTATTCCAATATGAAGGAGAAATAAATACTTTTGTGGACAAACTAAGATGAGGGATTTCATCAGTACAGGACCTATCCTGCAAGAAATGGTAAAGAGAGCTCTTTAATGTGGAAAAAAAGGACGTTAACAAGCAAGAAAACATCATCTGAAGGTACAACACTCACTGCTAATAAATATCTAATAATAATACAGAATACCATAACACTGTAATTGTCATATTTAAACTACTCCTTACTTCCACATTTAAACTACTTCCTACTGAGTAGGAAGACTAAAAGAAGTACTATCAAAAATGATAACAAAACAACATTCAAGAAAGAGACCCTTTAAAAAGATGTAAATAGAAATGACAAAAAGTTTAAAAGCAGGGTGGATGAAGTTGAATTGTAGAGTTTTTATTAGTTTTCTTTTGCTTGTTAGTTAGTCTTTTTAATCAGAGTTAAGTTGTCATAAGTGTAACATACTCAGTTATAAGATGTTATTTGCAAGCCTCATGATAACATCAAATCAAAAAACCTACAACAGATTCACAAAAATAAAAAGCAAGACATTAAAACATAACACCTGAGAAAATCACTTTTACATAAAGGAAGACAGAAAGGAAAGAAAAAAGGAAGAAAGAGAACACCGCAAGACAACCAGAAAACAACAAAAGAGCAGTAGTAAGTCCTTACCTATAAATAATAGCATTGAATGTAAATAGACTAAACTCTTCAATCAAAAGACATAGAGCAGTTGAATGAATAAAAAAATCCAACTATTTTCTGCCTAAAGAAATATACTGCCCCTGTAAAGACACGCATGGACTGAAAATAAAGGATGGATAAAGATATTCCATGGAAATGGAAACCATAAAAAAGAGAGAGAAGGAATAACTATATTTTTATCAGACAAAATAGATTTCAAGAAAAAATTATGAGACAAAATATCACTATAAAATAATAAAGGTGTCAATTCAGCAAGAGGATATAACAATTTTAAATACATATCCCCCAACACTGGAACATCCAGATACATTAAGCAAATATTATTCAAGCAAAAGAGAGAGATAGGTCCTAATACGATAAGAGCCATAGAGTTCAACAGCCCACCTTCAACACTGGACAGATCTTTCAGACAGAAAATTAACAAGAAAATACTGGAATTAATTTGCACTCTAGACCAAATGGATCTAATATATATTTACAGGACATTTCATGTAAGGGCTGCAGAATACATTCTTTTCCTCAGCACATAAATTATTCTCAAGCGTATGCCATATTTTAGGCCACAAAACAAGTCTTAAAACATTAAAAAATTTGAAATCTTATGAATCAATTATCTTATTCACCACAATGGAATACAACTAGAAATCATTAACAGGAGGAACTTTAAAAACTCTACATACCTGGCCAGGCGTGGTGGCTCACAAACGTAATCCTGGCACTTTGGGAGGCTGAGGTGGGTGGATTGCCTGAGCTCAAGAGTTCGAGACCAGCCTGGGCAACACGGTGAAACCCCGTCTCTACTAAAATACAAACAAACAAACAAAACAAACAAACAAACAGCTGGGCATGGCACTGTGTGCCTGTAACCCCAGTTACTTGGGAGACTGAGGCAGGAGAATTGCTTGAACCTGGGAGGCAGAGGTTTCAGTGAGCCGAGATCATACCTTTGCACCCCAGCCTGGGTGACAGAGTGAGACTCCATCTTAAAAAAAAAAAAAAAAAAAAAAAAAAAAACTATAGAAACACATGGAAATTAAACAATACACTTCTGAATCACCAGTGAATCCATGAAGAAATTAGGAAAGAAATGTAATACATTTTTGAAATATGAAAATGGAAACACAACATACCAAAACCTATGAGACACAGCAAAAGCAATACTAAGAGGAAAGTTCATAGCAATAAGCATCTATGTAAAAAAAAGTAGAAAAACTTGAAATAAACAACCTAACAGTGCATTGTAAAGAACTAGAAAAGCAAAAGCAAACCAAACCTAAAATTAGTAGAAGAAAAGATATAATAAAGATCACAGAAGAAATAAATTGAATTGATCTTTTTTTGTTTGCTTCAATGAAGTAACAAGTTGTTTTTTTGAAAAGATAAACAAATTTTACAAATATTTAGCCAGACTAAGAAAAAAAAGACAGTAGACTTACATAAATAAAATCAGAGATGGAAAAGAAGACATTAAAATCAATACATAGAAATTATAAAAAAAATAGAGACTGAGCAATTATATGCCAATAAATTAGAAATTCCACAAGGAAAACTATAAAACACTGCTGAAAGAAATCTTAGATGACACAAACGAATAGAAAAACATCCTATGCTCATGGATGGGTAGAATCAATATTGTGAAAATGACCATACTGCCAAAAGCAATCTACAAATTCAATGTAATTCCCATCAAAATACCACCATCATTCTTGACAGAACTAGAAAAAAACAATCCTAAAATTCATATGGAACCAAAAAAGAACCCACATAGCCATAGCAAGACTATGCAAAAAGAACAAATCTGGAGGCATCACATTACCCAACTTAAAACTATACTGTAAAGCCACAGCCACCAAAACAGCATGGTACTAGTCTAAAATTGGGCAAATAGACCAATGGAACACAATAGAGAATGCAGAAATAAACCCAAATACTTACCACCAACTGATCTTTAACAAAGCAAACAAAAACATAAAAGTGGGGAAAGGACACCCTATTCAACAAATGGTGCTGGGATAATTGGCAAGCCACATGTAGGAGAATAAACCTGGATACTCATCTCTCACCTTATACAAAATAAACTCAAGATGAATCAAGGAATTAAATCGAAGGCCTGAAACCATAAAAATTCTAGAAGATGATGTTGGAAAACCCTTCTAGACATTGGCTTAGGCAAAGAATTCATGGCCAAGAACCCAAAAGGAAATGCAACAAAACAATCATAAACAGGTGGGACTTAATTAAATTAAAAAGTTTCTGTACAGCAAAATAAAAAATCAGCAGAGTAAACAAACAAACAACCCACAGAGTGGGAGAACATCTTCACAATCTATACATCTGATAAAGGGCTGTCATACAGAATCTACAAGGAACTCAAACAAATTAGCAAGAAGAAAACAATCCCATCAAAAAATGGGCTAAGGACATGAATAGACAATTCTCAAAAGAAGATATACAAATGACCAACAGACATATAAAAAATGCTCAATATCACTAATGATCAGGGAAATGCAAATCAAAACCACAATGCAATTCCACCTTACTCCTGCAAGAATGGCCATAATCACAAAATTAAAAAATAATATATGTTGGCGGGGATGCGGCAAAAAAGGAACCCTTTTACACTGCTGGTGGGTATGTAAACTAGTACAACCACTATGAAAAACAGTGTGTAGATTCCTTTAAAAACTAAAAGTAGAACTACCATTTGATCCAGCAATCCCACTACTGAGTATTTACCCAGAGGAAAAGAAGCCATTATACAAAAAAGATACTTGCCCATGCATGTTTATAGCAGCATGATTTGCAATTGCAAAAATATGGAACCTGCCCAAATGCCCATCAATCAATGATTGGAAAAAGAAATTGTGATATATATATATACATATATATACATATATATGTATATATGTATATATATGTACACACACACACATATATATATATATATATAAAATGACTGAATAGTACTCCATGGTGTATACATATATATACACACACATATATATACACACATATATGTGTATATGTATATACAGTATTCCATGGTGTATATATATATACACACACATATACACACACACACACACACACACACACAGATATATATATATATATATATATATATATACACATACATATACACACACCATGGAATACTATACAGTCATAAAAAGGAATGAAATAATAATGGCATTCACAGCAACCTGGATGGAATTGGAGAGCATTATTCTAAGTAAAGTAACTCAGGAATGGAAAACCAAACATCATATGTTCACACTCATAAGTAGGAGCTAAGCTATGAAGATGCGAAGGCATAAGAATGATGCAATGGACTTTGGGAACTTGAGGGAAAGGGCAGGAGGGGGGTAAGAGATAAAAGACTACAATTTGGGTACATTGTATACTTCTAGGGTGATGGGTGCACCTGAATCTCACAAATCACCACTAAAGAACTTACTCATGTCACCAAACACCACCTGTTCCCCAAAAACCCTATGGAAATAAAATATAAAATAAAAACAAGCAAAAAATTCTAGGAAAAATTAATAAATTTTTACACACATACAACCTATCAAGACTGAACCATGAAGAAACCCAAAACCTAAATAGATCAATATCAAGTAATACAATTCATAATAAATAAAACAAGATCCATAATAAATTCAAAATACAAGCCATAATGAAAAGTCTCCTAGCAAAAAGAAAAAAGAAAAAGCCTGGAGGCTGGCATGGTGGCTCACATCTGTAATCCTAGCACTTTGGAAGGCTGAGGCAGGTGTTCGAGACCAACCTGGGCAACAAGGCAAAACCCCATCTCTACCAAAAAAACCCCACAAAAATTAGCCAGACATGGTGGTACACGTCTGTCGTCCCAGCTACTTGGGAGGCTGAGGTGGGAGGATCACCTAAGCTTGGGAGGTCAAGTTTGCAGTGAACCAAGACCATGCCACTGCACTCCAACCTGAGCAATAGAGTGAGACTCTGTCTCAAAAAAAAAAAAAAAAAAATAGCCTTGGACCCAATGTCTTCACTGGTGAATTTTACCAAGCTATTGAAGAGAAATTGATACCAATCCTACTCACACTATTCTGCCAAATAAAGAATGAAGGAATACTTCCAAAATCATTTCACAAAGCCAATATTACCCTGACACTAAAACCAGACAAAATTCTTAAGAAAATACTAGCAAACCAAATTCAACAGCACATTATAAAGATGATTCATCATGACCAAGGGGGATTTATCCTAGGTATGTAAGAATGGTTCAACATACACTAATCAATCAATCAATCAGATACATCATATCAACAGAATGACAGACAAAAGCAATTTGATAATTTCAACTGATGTTGAAAAAGCACTTATAAAATTTATCATCTCTTCATAACCCTCAAAAAATTGGGTATAGAAGAAACATACTTCAACACAATATAAGCCATATATGAGAGCACCACAGCTAGTATCATATTGAATGGAGAAAAACTGAAAATCTTTCTGCTAAGACCTGGAACAAGACAAAAATGACCACTCTCACTACTGATATTCAACATACTACTGGAAGTCCTAGCTACAGCAATCAGACAAGAGAAAGAAATGAAGGGCATTCCAATTGGAAAGGGAGAAGTCAAATTGTCCTTGTTTGCAGATGATATGATTTTATGTTTGGAAAATCCTAAAGACTCCATCACAAAGCTACTAGAACTGATAAATAAATTCAGCAATGTCGCAGAATACAAAATAAACCTATATAATGAATAGCATTTCTATATACTAACAGCAAGCAATCTGAAAAAGAAATTTTAAAAAATCTCATTTACAATAGCTACAAAGAAAATAAAGTACCTAGGAATAAACTTAACCAGTGAAGTGAAAGATTGCTCTTATGAAAATTATAAAACACCTGTGCAAGAAATTGAAGAGGGCCCATATAAAAGGAAATATATTTCATGTTCATGGATTGGGATAATTAATATTGTTAAAATGTCCATACTACCCAAAGTAATCCATAGCTTCAATTCAATCTCTATCAAAATCGCAATGACATTCTTCACAGAAATAGAAAAAACAATCGTAAAATTTATATGGACCACATAATACCCAGAATAGTCAAAGCCATCTAACACCAGTTAGAATGGCATTTATCCAAAAGACAGGCAATTAACAAATGCTGAAAAGAATGTGGAGAAACGGGAACCCTTGTACACTTTTGGTAGGAGTGCAAAATAGTACAACCACTATGGAGGATGAGTTGGAAGTTTCTCAAAATGCTAAAAATAGAGCTACCATATGATCCAGCAAGCCCACTACTGGGTATATACCGAAAAGAAAGGAAATCTGTATATTAAGGAGATATCTGCACTCCTATGTTTTTAGCAGCACTATTGGCAATTGCCAATATTTAGATGCAACCTTAGGGTTCATCAACAGATGAATGGATGAAGAAAATGTGGTACCTTCAGACAATGGAGTACTTTTCAGACATAAATAATAACATTCTGTCATTTTCAACAACATAGATGGAACTGCAGCAAATAATGCTAAGTGAAGTAAGGTAGGCACAGAATGACTAACTTTGCATATTCTCACTCATTTGTGGGAGCTAAAAATGAAAACAATTGAGTTTATGGAGATAGACAGTAGAATAATCATTACTAGAGGTTAGAACGTTTAGTGGGGGGCAGGGAATTAGGAGGGAGAGTGGGAATGGCTAATGGGTACAAAAATAGTTAGTTAGAAGGAATAAGATCCAGTATTTGATAGCACAAAAGTTTGACTACAGTCAACAATAATTTATTGTACATTTTCTAAAAACTAAAAGAGTATAATGGGCATGTTTGTAACACAAAGAAATGATAAATGTTTGATGTGATGGATACCCCATTTACTCTGATGTGATTGTTATGTATTGTATTATTGTATCATAACATCTCACATACCCCATAAATATATACACTATGTATCTATAAAAATTAAACATTAAAAAATAATAAAAATTAAAATATAGTCAATTGATTACCTTAATTTCATCTGCAAGTTTTAATCAGCAATTAATTCCATTTTTAACTCTCTCATTCTATGTAATATAACTTATTCATATGCTCCAGGGATTGGAATGTGGACATCATTGTGAGGTTTGGGGGAGGCCATCATTCTGCTTAGCATATTACTTAAACTGTTTGAGCCTTATATTATCATTTATAAAGTGAGTTAATAATACCATGCAAAAGATCATTGTAAATATTAAATGGAAGTATTTTTAGAATAAGTGCCAAGTATAAGACCTGTTACATAGTATGCACTCAAATTATAACAGCAGTTGGAGGAATTATTTCTATTAATAGTAGTAGCAGCACTATATATAGTTACCTTAAATTAACATACAATAATTTGTGAACAATATATTTCACCTGTCCCTTAATATGCTCTCATTTCCCAATATGCCCCCATAGGTATGAAAAACAGAAAAATGCAGGGAAGGAGGATCCTGTAGCATGAAATAAAGAAGGGAGGGGACAAACTGTGTTACTCAACAGTAGAACCCAGAGCCCCTCAGACACTGGAAAGATCTTCCAGCAGTGAAGACACCAAAGAAAAATGTTTGGGCAGCTGTTTTTCTGCCACTGCAGGAAGCTGTCAGCCAGTTCCATGACTCCCAGTAAACTTACTTGAGCAAAGCAGCTCATTTTGGCTAGTGGAAGAAGATTAGCACTCATATCAATGGAAAGCTTTTTTTTTTTTTCTCTCTCTCTCTCACTGGAGACAGTTAGGACATTCTCATTGCCAATGGCCCTTTTGCTTATAGTAGGTACATGTATTGTTGCCCAGGGGCCAGTGAGTTGGGGGCTCTTCTCAGGGCATTCCAGATGTTTATTTCATGACTTTTTAAAAATATGGATAACCCTGGGGGGCCAGGAGTCCTAAAGTTATCACCTTCACCCTAGAAACTTCTGTATAAACCATCCTCTAATCTCTGCCCTCTCTTATCTTTCTTAGCCTCTGGTAAATATCACTCTACTTTATACCTCATAAGATAAAATGTTTTAGTTCTACCATGAATGAGAACATGTGGTATTTGTCTCTCTGTGCCTAGCTTATTTCACTTACCATAATAACCTCCCTTTTCATCTATGTTGCTGAAAATGACAGGATTTCATTCTGTTTTATGACTAAGTGATATTCCATTGTATATGTATACTAAATGTTCTTTATCCTTTCATCTGTTGATGGAGACCTAAATTGTTTCCCTATGTTGGCTACTGTGAATAATGCTGAAATAAACAGGAGTGAAGTTAGTCCTTTGATATACTGATTCCCTTTCCTTTGGATGAAGACACTGTAGTAGGATTGTTGTATCATATGGTAGCTCTATTTTTAGTTTTTTTGAGAAACCTCCATATTGCGTTTTTTTTAACTTTATAAGGGTGCAGTAGCTTACACTGCCAACAACAGTTTATAAGAGTTCCCTTTTCTTTACATCTTTACCAACATCTGTTATTTTTTGTCATCTTCATAATAGCCATTCTGATTGGGTTAAGAAGATATTGCAGTGTGGTTTTGATTTGCCTTTTCCTGACAATTAGTGATGTTGGACTTTATATATATATATGTGTGTGTATATATGTATATATATATACATATATATGTGTGTATATATGTATATATATATACATATATATGTGTGTATATATGTGTGTATATATGTATATATATATACATATATATGTGTGTATATATATGTGTATATATATGTGTGTATATATATGTGTGTATATATATACATTTTAGCCATTTGTGTATCTTTTGAGAAATATCCATTCAAGTCTTTTGCCCACTTTTTAATGGTATTTTATTTTATTTTTTGCTGTTGAATTGTTAGATTTACTTGTATATTCTGGGTGTTAGTCCCTTGTTGGATGAATAGTGTGCAAATACGTTCTCCCATTCTTCAGGTTGTCTTTTCACTCTGTTGATTGTTTCCCTTGCTGGGAAGATGTCTTTTTAGTTTAACATAGTTCCACTTGTGAAGTATACAGCAAGATTAAAATATTTAAAAAGTAAAAATACACTTCAGTTGCTTAAATAATATTAGAAGGACAGTTCTCTAGCAGGTCTTAGACTTACCTAGCTCTCCCCTCTTTCTAGCTTGTAGTTCTCAAGAATAACTGAAGAACATGCTGGGGATGAAATATCCTGAGATAAGGAGGAGCTGGCTGGAACAGCTGGGGATCTTTTCTTGTCTTTCCTAGAAAAAAAAAAAAAAGATGCCCTTCAACACTTTGTTCCAACTGTTTGCATTACCCCAGTGGTAAAAACCCAGAATGGGCTGCTTTCCAGGATCCCTCAGCTGCACTGCAAGTGAAGAACATGCAGACGATATTCCATCTATCCTGGGCAGCTTGAGCCTTATGGGACTGGCCTGCCCTAATTCTAGGCTTCTACTGTCTCTTGCTATTTATCTGTGATTAGTAAAGTTGCTTTATGTAACTTGCTGTGTGATAGTTTTGTCTCAACGGACTCATACAAGTAGTAGAAATTGCAGCCCAATATGCAGTGGGCTGAAGTGGCAACCAGTGTGCATTGAACTTGATTCACAATATTTACTTAGTTCCTGACTTAAATATTTTGATCATGGTTCCATATTTTTAGCATTAAATATATGACCCAATATATTCCAAAATGTAAACAAACTCTTTTCTTAATAGGGCAACACAGTGGGTCAGTTTAAAATATAGGAGTGGAAAATAACCAAAACTTTAATAGTAATAGTAATTATTATTGGCTGCCATCAAATAATGTCTCCGACATTCAAATACTCTAAGATAATTGTTATCTAATTAATGTTAGATTATTATTAACAGATTAAGATGCACAAAATCACAATGATCACACAATTTTGATACAAGCAATAAGGTGATTTTCATTATAAAAAGGATTAGGATTAGGAGGCCAGGTGCCAAGCCTGTAATCTCAGCACTTTGGGAGGCCAAGGCAGGCGGATCACCTGAGGTCAGGAGTTTGAGATCAGCCTGGCCTATATGGTGAAACCCTGTCTCTACTAAAAATACAAAAATTAGCCGGGCATGGTGGCAGGCGCCTATAATCCCAGCTACTCAGGAGGCTGAGGCACGAGAATCGCTTGAACCAGGGAGGTGGAGGTTGCACTCAGCTGAGGTCACACCACTGCATTCCAGCCTGGGTGACAAGGGCGAATCTCTGTCTCAAAAAAAAAAAAAAAAAAAGATTAGGGCTTTAAAAAAAATATTAGATTTAATTAATATTAAGTGTTCATTCTTTCTACTTATTTAACCAATGATGTATTAACCGTATTATCTTTTCAAAATATGAATTCATCATTTGAATTTAAATAAATTTTATAAAATAATGTTATATAAGGCCATCAAGATTAAATGCATATAAATTGCTTAAATATATTTATTATAACAGTATAGTAAATCATTTTTATTTTGGTTCTTATTTCTAAAAGTTTCATATCTGTATCTGCAAACCAATGTGTAATAGAAAATCTTCATAAGTATGATCAAGTTAAAACTACTTATATGCACACATACATAAAATTTCAAAATGTATATAAGATTGATGGTATTTTGAGGAGACTCAGAATATGTTTTCCTCCTAACACAACAAAAAATATCAGAATAATTCTGTTTTTTCAAGAAAGTATCAACTAGAAAAGAGCATGGATCAATTAGGCTTTTGATTTGAAACAGAGAAAATCTGTTTTTTTTTCCTGAGAATTTCTGCATTTATCAAGTATTAACTTACCAGTTAGTTTGTATTTATCCACAAAGTATGGCTTTTTCAAAATTTTCATCATTTCTTGATTGCACATGTAATACATGTTTATTTCAGATATGTTAGAAAATGCAATGAAATAGAAATGAATCAAATTAATACCAAAGAAAAAACCACTATAATCTCAATACTATTTCCAGAAATATTTACCATTTATCTTTTGGCACATAATATTTTCAACTTTTTGGAATAGACCAACAGACACACATGCACACACACAAATGACATATGAAGATTATCCTTCTTCTGATTTTGATATAGAAATTTGGCTAGAGATACCACTCTTTCCCTCAGCTCAAAACAGATGCATGGGCATATTGGTGCCCATGGTAAAGTGTTCTATATCTACCAAAGTGCAGTAACACATCAAGGCAAGTTTTCAAAAGGTGTATAATTCTCTGTGCAGATGACATAACTTTGCTTCAGAATGTTTTGTGATTATTCCCCCCAGAGTTCACCATAAGCTCCACATGAAATTTTTTTAGACCATTTACACCTGTAATACTTTAGGATCTGACAGATCTTATAACCTAAGTTGCAAGGCTGCTTTAACCAAAGCCTGGAGCTAAAATAGAACCCTTTCTCTCATGAGGCTCTACTCAAAGTTGTATGTTTTTCACGGCACAAAATATATAGGCCATAGGAATATTTCTAAGAGTGGAATTTGTTACTTCCAGAACTCAAATATGCCTACCAGACACTGTGATTCCTTGTTTGTGCTAAGGGATGTAAAACCTAGTAAATTATCTTGTATTTAAGCAGGCATATTTTAAGATGTCTCTGGCCACTTGGCCCCTAAAAATGTCACTGAGATGTCTAATCTCTGAATTGCAGTAACACTTATCTTCCACCCTCTGGAATGCAAGTGACTTATCAAAGCATCTAGTAGTATATTAGCCACCTCTTGATCATTGTGCATGATGTTATTAATGTAATGGATCAGTGTGACATTTCTTGGATATCCAGGAATTTCAGATCTTTCCAGACTACATTATTGCAGCGAATAGGAGAGTTAAAATAACCCTGAGGTAAAAAACATAACAAAGATCATTTACTGTTATATGTGCATACAAACCGTCTCTGATCTCTGTGTTCAATTGTTTGGGAAAAGAACGAACATATTTGCGAAATCAATGGCCACATGCCATGTACCTGAGGACTTATTAGTCTCCTTTAACAATGGTACAAAGTTAAATACACAGCTGCAGTCAGGGCTACTACTTGGTTGGTCTTGTAGTAGTACACATTCATTCTCAATAATCTCACTGATTTCTGAAGGTGCTAAATATGCTAATTACACCGGCTATAATAGGGAGTGTTATGGGCTGAATTGTGTTCCCTGAAAACTCATATGATAAACACCCAACCCCCAGTACCTAGGAATGCGATTGTATTTAGAGGTAGGGTCTTTAAAGAGATGATTAAGTTAATGAGGTCATTTTAGTGGGTCCTAATCCAATCTGACCAGAGAGTCCTTATAAAAAGAGGTAATTGTGAGCCTGGCATGGTGGCTCACGCCTGTAATCCCAGCACTTTGGGAGGCCGAGGTGGGCAGATCATCTGAGGCCAGGAGTTCTAGACCAGCCTGGGCAATACGGTGAAACCCCGTCACTACTAAAAATACAAAAATCAGCTGGGCGTGGTGGTGGGTGCCTGTAATTGCAGCTACTTGGGAGGCTGAAATAGGAGAATCGTTTGAACCCGTGAGGCGGAGCTGCAGTGAGCCGAGATCGTGCCATTGCACCCCAGGCTGGGCAACAACAGTGAAACTCCATCTGAAAATAAATAAATTTTTTTAAAAGAGGAAATTGTGAAACACAAACACCAGGAATGTGCTCACAAAGAGGAAAGACCATGTGAGGGTACAGGGAGAAGATGGCCATCTGTAAGCCAAAGATAGGCCTCAGAAGAAGCCAAACCTGTTGATACAATGATCTTGGCTTTCTAGCCTCCAGAAGCATAAAAAAATAAATTTCTGTTGTTTAACCACCCAATCTGTGGTACTTGGATATCGCAGCTCTAGCAAACCAATACGAAGTTCAATAACCTTGCATCCTTTAGGTCTTTAATAGGGGCACAAATCTCCAGCTCATCTCACCCTCCAGGATACAATATTGTTTTAGTTTTGCTATCTTGCCAGAGGCAGGAAAGATCCCCCCATTGGAATACATAGCTTTTTTTTTTTTTTTTTTTTTTTGAGACGGAGTCTCGCTCTGTCGCCCAGGCCGGACTGCGGACTGCAGTGGCGCAATCTCGGCTCACTGCAAGCTCCGCTTCCCGGGTTCACGCCATTCTCCTGCCTCAGCCTCCCGAGTAGCTGGGACTACAGGCGCCCGCCACCACGCCCAGCTACTTTTTTGTATTTTTAGTAGAGACGGGGTTTCACCTTGTTAGCCAGGATGGTCTCGATCTCCTGACCTCATGATCCACCCGCCTCGGCCTCCCAAAGTGCTGGGATTACAGGCGTGAGCCACCGCGCCCGGCCTGGAATACATAGCTTTTATCCCACATAGTAATGACAAAATATAGTGGTTGCTTCAACTGCCATGTATCCTAATTCCAATTATCCACGCAACTACTAGGGAAATGAGCCCTGAATGGGATCGTGTGAACCAAACTTCAGCCAGGACTTCATTTATTACTTTCCCAATGTAACTTCCTCTTACAAGGAGATGTTGACAATATTTTGGGTTTTTGAGTATCAAAGTCAACTTAGACCCTCTGTCTAATAGTTCTCAAACTATCTGTTTCTCCCGTTTATTTCACATATGGCCATCTGAATGAATAACCATAGCTTTCATTAGGAAAGAACTGAGAGAATCTGCATAAATACTTGCTGTGGTGTTACAGTGTCCTTCTATCTAGGGACCTGGTCACCTCTTATATTAATATGTCCTGTATCTTAAAATTAGAATAAGATTCAACTCTAATTACCAGCCTGGCAGTGAAGAAAAGACATGTTGGCATCTCTGGAAGAGAGCACATTTTACCTTTCAGTGCTTTTAACATGGGGGAAATTACAATGGGCCACTTGTGAAAACTATAAAGTTTTTGGGAGTCTTCAAAGACAACATCATCAAAAACATACATCCCAATGTCTCTAGCCCATGTTTCAGGGTCCTGGATTTTCTCAATCTGGGTGCTCATCTTAGTATAACAGATATAAGTTGACTGGGCATACCAACATCCCTGGAGCTCTATGATATTAACTATAATTCCTTTAGTCTGCTTCTCATTTCTACTTGCTCTTCCATAGTAGCAGATAAGGGATTCTTGGTTAATTGACAAAGAGGACTTCTGGATTTTTAAGCTTATCTTTAGCTGATTGTTAATGACACTTAGTTTTGTTCTCTTATCCCTCTGTAGAAAGTCAATGTAATTTTTCATTAACCAATTAAACTTACTGTCCTTTTAGGTACTTCACCCCATGTCTGTCAGATGTCTGAATAATCACACTCACAAGGCAGATCTAATCAACCAGGATAATCTCCTGTCGCCAATGGTAAAACATTTTAGGTACTTTGTTGCCACCTTGTTCCAAGGACTATCCATTGCCTATTAAGTGTTGCAGCCTCTTTGCTCACTAGAAAGTGAGTGAGCCAATTCTAAATCCTCATTTTATTGCCTGTTTTCTTGAATTACATTCAGAGCCACTTGCATTAATTCAGGCCCAACAAAAAGCAGACACTAAGATGAGATTAGATGTGTAAGATATGTATTAGATAACAGTGTAGGAGATCGTTGAGAGATCTTCAGGCTGCAATGCAGATATAATACCTGAAGAAGAAAAGATAAGGAAAAGAGGAATTGAGTTGGAAAAGTCTCAGATTGAATTATAGTTCCATGAAAAGTTCTGCTGGGCATCTAGGGAGTTTTCAAACCAAACATCCCAGTATCTTGAAGGTATGGGCAGAAGTAATATGTGTAGAGGCAATAAGCAAGACTTCCAAAATTGATGAATGACTTCATTCCACAGATCCAAGTTGCTGAGCAAATCCCATGATGGGCAAATACAAATAAATGAACACCTAACAACAACAACAACAACAAATGACCCCATTAAAAATTGGGCAACATATATCAAAAGACATTTTTCAAAAGAATACTTAAAAATGGCCAAGAAGCATAGGAAAAAATGTTCCACAACACTAAACATCAGAGAAATGCAAATTAAAACCACAATGATGTATCGTCTTATGCCAGTTAGAATGGCTATTATTAAAAAGTCAAAAAATAACAGATGTTGATGAGGATGTAGAGAAAAGTGAACATTTATGCAGTGTTGGTGGGAATATAAATTAGTACAAACTCTATGGAAAACAGTATGGAGATTCCTCAAAGAAATAAAATAGAACTGCATTCAATCCAGCAATCCCACCACTGGGTATCTATTCGAAGGAAAAGGAATCATTATATCAAAAACATACCTGCACTATTCAGAATAGCAAAGATATGGAATCAACCTAAGTATTCATCAATGACTGGATAAGAAAATGTGGTGTATATATACATATACATACACAAAATGGAATACTATTCAGTCATAAAAAGTATGAAATAATGTTTTTTGCAGCAACATTGATGGAATTGGAGACCATTACCTTAAGTGAAAAAACTCAGACACAAAAAGTCAAATACTGCGTATTCTCACTTATAAGTAGGAGCTAAATAATTTGGACACATAAACATAGAATGTGGAATAATAGACACTGGAGACTCAGAAAGGTTGGAGGGTGGGAATTTTTTTATAATTACAATTTGCTTTGAGATTATTGTAGATTCACATGCAGTTGTAATAAATAATAATGAGATCCCAAGTATGCCTTACCCAGTTTCCCCAAGTAATATTAATAACATCTTTAAAATCTATAATACAAAATCGCAGCCAAGATACTGACATTGATACACTCTACCTATCTCTTTAGATGTCATTTTACTTATACTCATTTGTGTATGTCTAATTAGTCTTACACAATTTTATCACATGTGTAAAGTTCATGCATCCATTGCCACAGACAAGATACAAAAAAATTCCATTACCACAAGGATCCCTCCTGTTCTTTAATAACAACATTCAGCCCCACCCCCACCCTCCATACTCCCTAGGTTCTGAAAACCACTAATCTATCTAAATTTTTGTCACTTTAAAAATGTTGTATAAATAGAATCATATAGTATGCAGCATTATGGAATTACCTCTTACACCCCCCTTCTCTCTCACTCTCTTTCTCTCTCTTTCACTTAGCTTAATTTCCATTAGATATATCTATTTGCTGAATGATACTTCACAGTATAGCTGTACCAGTTTGTATAACCATTCACACTTTGGGATACAGGATACATCTAAACTGTTTCTAGGTCTTGGATATTATGAATAAGCTGCTATGAACCTTGTTGAGCAGGGTTTTTAAAATGAACTTAAGTTTTCATTTTTTTTTAGGATAATAGCCCAGGAGTGCAATTGATTAGTTATATGGTAATTGCATATTTTGTTTTATAAAAAATTGCCAGACTAATTTCTAGGGTGGCTGTACCAACTTTTATTTCCACCAGCTTGTATAGTGGCCTAGTTTCTCTGCATGCATCCTCACCAGCCTTTGTTGTTATTGCTAGTTTTAATTTATCAATTTAGATAGGCACATAATAATATGCATTATGGTTTCAATTTGCATTTCTCTGATGAATAATGATGTTTAACATATCTTCTCACGCTTATTTGCTGTATTTATATGATCTTTCGTAAAATGTCTGTTCACATTTTTTTTTGGCCCGTTTTCTAATTAGATTTTTTTTTTAACTGTTGAGTTTGAAAGTTCCTTATACATTCTAAACACTAGTCTTTTGGTGAATATATGGTTTGTATACTTTCTTCCAGTCTAGATCTTCTCTTTTCTTTCTCTTCACATGACCATTCGCAGAGCAAAAGTATTTTGTTGTTGTTGTTGTTGTTTGATTATGTCCAATTTATCCATTTTTTCTTTGATAGATTATGCTTTTGGAGTCAAGTCTAAGAAGTTGTTCCTTGGATCCCAAAGATTTTCTCCTATTATTTTCTTAAAGTTTTACAGTTTTATAGTTTACATTTAAGTTCATGATATATATTTTAGTTAATTTTTGCATAATGTATGAGGTTCAAGTTGTAGAATTTTGGTTTGTTTTTCTTTTCCTTTTTTCTCTTCTGGCCTATGGAAATTCAATTGCTGCAGATCCATTTGTCAAAAAGGCTTTTCTTCCTCCACTGAATTGCTTCTACAATTGTGCAAAAAATCCGTTGAGCATATTTGTTAGACTCCATTTCTAAGTTCTGTTTCATTGATCTATGTATGTGTCCTTCCACCAATACCACACAATTTTGGTTGCTATAGTCTTATGGTAAGACTTAGTGTTGTACAGGGTGATTCTTCTCACTTTATTTTTGTCAAAATTATTTTAGCTGTTATAAAATCTGTACCTATCCTTATAAATTTTGGAATAAGATTTCCTATATCTAAAACAATTCTTGCAGTTAGAATTTAGTCTATTTATTTATTTATTTATTTACTTATTTATTTATTCATGCATTCATTTATTCATTTTTGTTTTCTCTGTATTTACTCTGGTTCTCATTGTACTGTTTATTTTTTCCTCTCTTCCTTTGTAATACTTACATACTTTTTTAGAATTCCACCTTGCTTTATTTATAGTAGCTGTGAGTGTATTTTATTGAATGTTTCTAGAGTACCTTCTATTCGTTTGTCTCTCACTCTCCCTCACCTCCCTAGTCTCTCCATCTTCAGTTACCTTGTAAGCAGAAAAAGGCAGTTTTAGGTCAGCAGAAAAAGGGCAGCACTTTCCTGGACTGCTTAATTTTGCAAGGAATTTCGATTGATGTCCCTTGCCGGTTCTGCCAGTTAGTCTAGTGTTGTCAGAGGGACTCCTTTTTGATCCAGATTGGTCTATTTGAGTTGCGTTCTGTTGCTGTTTGCAGTTACAAATGACTGTGTGTCAACTTCTTCTGTTAAGTGGGAGCCCTAAAATGCCCTACTACTATGTTGTTCCTCTAGTGCTGGGATCCCAAACTGGTTTGCCTTTGTCTTACCATCTTTCAGTATTCTCATTTTGTTGCTATTTGTATTTTGTGTGTGTGTGTGTGTGAGACGGAGTCTCGCTCTGTCGCCCAGGCTCGAGTGCAGTGGCGCGATCTCGGCTCACTGCAAGCTTCGCCTCCCCGGTTCACGCCATTCTCCTGCCTCAGCCTCCCGAGTAGCTGGGACTATAGGCGCCCGCCACCACGCCCGGCTACTTTTTTGTATTTTTAGTAGAGACGGGGTTTCACCGTGTTAGCCAGGATGGTCTCGATCCCCTGACCTCGTGATCCACCCGCCTCGGCCAGGCGCGGTGGCTCACGCCTGTAATCCCAGCTATTTGTATTTTTAAGGGTATATCGTTATGTTTAGCAGGGAGTTACAAGGAGACACAGGTCTATACCATATTTTCCAAACCTGAAGCATAAGGTAGAATAATTTTGGAAAGTGGAATGTGGTATGTTAGTGCACATATTTTCATCTGAAAGCCAGTTAAAAAATAGTGTAAAGTGAAGTAACTGGACACTCAAGAGAAGAGATAAAATAGAATAATTTAAAAAGAAAGAGAACAACTTAACTCATCCTCCACCTCTCTTCCTCAAAAAAGTAAACAAGAACAGAGAAGCAAAGAACAGAGAAGCAAAGCACAGACAGGACAATTAGAAAAGGGACATCAAGATGGTGCCTGACTTTTGTCACTCAGCTAATAGTTATCAAGTGGCAAAAATTACTTCTATGAGATTTGCTGTCTCACCCCCATCCACCTGAAGGGCCCCCAAAGTTTTTAAAATAAAGAAAAGTAGTGACATTATATGGTTACTGGAAAAAAAATCCCTCATTATTTTTTTATCTCTATGTCTCAACCCACCAAATGCAAGCAATTGGAATATTACCTCAACTGTTCCTACCTCTATTTTCTGTTTCTTAAATTATTAATATATTCCTTTCATACTTCTTATAAGTTTTATTAAAAAATTTCTTGGTATGCTCTCATTTATTTGCATAAAAAGGTTAATGCAATATCTAGGAAGTAAATAACTAATATAAATAACAAAGTAGTCCCTGAAGTAAAACATATTATTAAGATAAATATACAGTAATATTATGTGACTTTTATCATGGCCAATATAAAGTGTGAGTAGAAGCATTAAGTCATTTTATTTTGAAAGTCTTCATTTCCTACTAATATAGTGTATATTTTCAGAGACTGTAACATAATACTAATTAATTAATCACTCAGCAAATAGTTATCAAGTGGCAAAAATTGCTTCTATGAGATTCGCTATCGACCCCCACACACCTGTGGGTATACAGCGAGTTACTTCTAGCTTGCAATGTACTTTTTCCCCAACAAATTTATTTTATGTATGCATTTTTTAAACTGAAAATATTGTGATGTCATTTTATCTTTCTTTGACTTATTTGTTCTTGGGATCATAATGTGCAACTTAGACTTTTCACAGGTCTCCGCTTTCATGGCTTTTTCTCATAAATCTGCTATTTGTGTTTTTGTGGACCAGAAAACACAAAAGTAAAAAAAAAATAGTAAATAAAAGTAATCTGAGTTACTTAGAGTGGAAATCTGCTAGGAACAGGAGTACATAGAACTCTACATGGACGATCAGTGCTGTTTCACCATCGATTTCTTTTAGAAGAGTCATTCAGGTTATTTCAAAAAGTAGCTCCCACATCTGAGTGAGAATATGTGATATTTGTCTTTCTGTGTCAGGCTTATTTCACTTAATATAAGTCCTCCGGTTCCATACCTGTTGCTGCAAATAACAGGACTTCGTTGATTTTTATGGCTGAATAATGTTCCATTGTGTATGTGTACCGCATTTTATTAATTCAGCCATTAATTGATACCTGGGCTGATTTCATGTCTTGGCTATTGTGAATTGTGCTGAAATAAACATGAGACCACAGATACCTCTTTGATATACTGATTTCCTCTGTTTGGATATATACTCACTATTGGGATTGCTGAAACATATGGTAGTTCTAGTTTTAGCTTTTTGAGGAACATCCATATTGGTTTACATAGTTACTGGCTGTACTAATTTATAGCCCCACCAACAGTGTACAAGGGTTCTCCTTTCTCCACATCTTCTCCAGCATTTGTTACAGGCTGTCTTTTGGACAAAAGTCATTTTTCTGGTCTTCTTTTTCTTTCCAACTTTTATTTTGGATTCAGGGGGAATACGTGCAGGTTTGTCACATGGCTATGTTGTGTGTTAAGGGGTTTCGTGTACAGATTATTTTGTCATCCAAGTAATGAGCATACTACCTGATTGGTAGCTTTTTGATCCTCACCTGTCTCCCTCTCTTCACCCTCAAGTACACCCCGGTGTCTGTTGTTTATTTCTTTGTGTCCATGTGTACTCAATGTTTAGCTTCCACTTAGAAGGGAGATCATGCAGTATTTAGTTTTCTGTTCTTGCTTTAATTCACTTAGAATAGTGAGCTGACACCATCACTGGCCATCAGAGAAATGCAAATCAAAACCACAATGAGATACCATCTCACACCAGTTAGAATGGTGATCATTAAAAAGTCAGGAAACAACAGGTGCTGGAGAGGATGTGGAGAAATAGGAACACTTTTACACTGTTGGTAGGGACTGTAAAATAGTTCAACCATTGTGGAAGTCAGTGTGGCGATTCCTCAGGGATCTAGAACTAGAAATACCATTTGACCCAGCCGTCCCATTACTGGGTATATACCCAAAGGACTATAAATCATGCTGCTATAAAGACACATGCACACGTATGTTTATTGCGGCACTATTCACAATAGCAAAGACTTGGAACCAACCCAAATGTCTAACAATGATAGACTGGATTAAGAAAATGTGGCACATATACACCATGGAATACTATGTAGCCATAAAAAATGATGAGTTCATGTCCTTTGTAGGGACGTGGATGAAATTGGAAATCATCATTCTCAGTAAACTATCGCAAGGACACAAAACCAAACACCACATGTTCTCACTCATAGGTGGGAATTGAACAATGAGAACACATGGACACAGGAAGGGGAACATCACACTCTGGGGACTGTTGTGGGGTGGGGGGAGGGGGGAGGGATAGCATTAGGAGATATACCTAATGCTAAATGACGAGTTAATGGGTGCAGCACACCAGCAGGGCACATGTATACATATGTAACTAACCTGCACATTGTGCACATGTACCCTAAAACTTAAAGTATAATAATAATAAAATGAAAAAAAAAAAAGAATGGTGAACTGAGACCATGCCACTGCACTCCAGCCTAGGAAACAAAAAATAAAAAAAAAATTATCGCCAGCTCCATCCATGTTGCTGCAAAGGACATCATTTCATTCTTTTTATAGGTGTGTAGTATTCCAAGGTCTATATGTACCAAATTTTCTTTATCAAATTCACCATTGATGGACATCTGGGTTGATTTTGTGTCTTTGCTATTGTGAACAGTGCTGGGATAAACATATGCATGCATGTGTCTTTATAGTAGAACAATTTATATTCCTTTGGGTATATACCCAACACTGAGATTGCTGGGTTGAACGATAGATTTGTTTTAGGTTCCTGGAGAAATCTGAGAGCTGCTTTCCACAGTGGGTGAAGTAATTAATATTCCACACTAACAGTGTATAAGTGCTCTGTATGCTCCATAACCTTCCCAGCATCTGTCATTTTTTGACTTTAGTAATAGTCATTCTGACTGGCATGAGATTATTTCTCATTGTGGTTTTGATTTGAATGTCTCCAATAATTAGTGCTGTTGAACAGTTTTTCATATGCTTGGTGGCCATGTGTGTGTCTTCTTTTGAGAAGTGTCTTTTAATGTCTTTGGCCCTTGTTAATGCGGCTGTTTGTTTTTTGCTTGTTATTTAAGTTCCTTACAGTTTTTGAATATTAGACCTTTGTCAGATGAATAAATTGCAAATATTTTATCCCATTGTGTAGGTTATTGGATTACCTTGTTGGTAAGTTTTTTGTTGTACAGAAGCTCTTCAGTTTAATTTGATCCCAGTTGCCAATTTTAGTTTTTGTAGCAATTGTTTTTGGAGTCTTTATCATGAAATCCTTTCCAAGGCCAACGTCCACAGTGGTATTTTCTATGTTTTCTTCTAAAGTTTTTGTAGTTTTAGGTTTTACATTCAAGTCTTTGATCTACTTTGAGTTGATTTTGTGTATGGTGAAAGGAAGTGGTCCAGTTGCGACTTACTGCATATGGCTTACCAGTTATATATTCACCATTTATTGAATAGGGGGTCCTTTCTCATTGCTTATTATTGTCAACATTATCAGAGATCACATGGTTGTAGTTGTGCAGCTTTACTTTTGGATTTTCAAACCTGTTTCATTGGTCTATGTGTCTGTTTTTGTATGAGTACCACGGTATTTTGATTACTGTAGCATTGCAGTATATTTTGACGTCAGGTAGTGTCATGCCTCTGGCTTTATACTTTTTGTTTAGGATTGCTTTTGCTATTCAGAATATTTTCTGGTTGCATAAGAATTTTATAACTTTTTTTCTGATTCTGTGAAAATTGTCATTGATAGTTTGACAAGAAGAGTATTGCTTTGGGCAATATGTTCATTTTAATTATATTAATTCTTTCTGTTCATGACCATGGAATGTTTATCCATTTGTTTGTGTCATCTGATGTCTTTCAGCAGTGTTTTGTAATTCTCATTGTAGAGCTCTTTCACCTCCCTGATTATCTGTATTCTTAGATATTTTATACTTTTTGTGGTTGTTGTGAATGAGATTGCATTCTTGATTTGCATCTCAGCTTGGACATTATTTGTATATAGAAATGCTACTGATAGTTGTACACTGATTTTACATCCAAAAACTTTGCTGAAGATGTCTATCAAATCTAGGTGCTTTTCCTCCAAGAAATATGGGACTATGTAAAGAGACCAAACCTACGATTGATTGGTGTACCTGAAAGTGATGGAGAGAATGGAACCAAGTTGGAAAACACACTTAAGGATATTATCCAGGAGAACTTCCCCAACCTAGCAAGACAGTCCAACATTCAAATTCAGGAAATACAGAGAACACCACTAAGATACTCCACGAGAAGATTAATCCCAAGACACATAATCATCAGATTCTCCAAGGTTGAAATGAAGGAAAAAATGTTAAGGGCAGTCAGAGAGAAAGGTCAGGTCACCTACAAAAAGAAACCCATCAGACTAACAGCAGATCTTTCTGCAGAAACTCTACATGCCAGAAGAGAGTGGAGGCCAATATTCAACATCCTTAAAGAAAAGAATATTCAACCCATAATGTCATATCCAGCCAAACTAAGCTTCATAAAAAGGGAGAAATAAAATCCTTTTTAGACAAGCAAATGCTAATGGATTTTGTTATCACCTGGACTGCCTTGCAAGAGCTTCTGAAGAAAGCACTAAATATGGAAAGGAAAAACGGGTACCAGCCACTGCAAAAACACATCAAAATATGAAGACCAATGACACTATGAAGAAACTGCCTCAACTAATGTACAAAATAACCAGCTAGCATCATGATGCTAGGATCAAATTCACACGTAACGATATTAACCTTAAATGTAAATGGGCTAACTGCCCCAATTAAAAGACACAGACTAGCAAATTAGACAAAGAGTCAAGACCTATTGGTGTGTTTTATTCAGGAGACCCATCTCACTTGCAAAGACACACATAGGCTCAAAATAAAAGGATGGAGGAATATTCACCAAGCAAATGGAAAGCAAAAAAAGCAAGGGTTGCAATTCTAGTCTCTGATAAAACAGACTTTAAACCACCAAAGATCAAAGAAGACAAAGAAGGGCATTACATAATGGTAAAGAGATCAATGCAACAAGAAGAGATAACTATCATAAATATATGTGCACCCAATACAGGAGCACCCAGATTCATAAAGTGTGTTCTTAGAGACCTACAAAGAGACTTACACTCCTATGTAATAATAGTGGGAGAATTTAACACCCCATTGCCAATATTAGACAGATCAGTGAGACAGAAAATTAATAAGGATATACAGGACTTGAACTCAGCTCAGGATCAAGTGGACCTAATACACATCTACAGAACTCTCCACCCCGAAACAACAGAATAAACATTCTTCTTAGTGCCACATTATACTTATTCTAAAATCGACCACATAATTGGAAGTAAAACACTCCTCAGCAAATGCAGAAGAAATGAAATAATAACAAAGTCTCTCAGACCACAGTGCAATCAAATTAGTAATCAGGATTAAGAAACTCACTCAAAACCGTACAACTATATGCAAGTTGAACAACCCGCTCCTGAACAGTTCCTGGGTAAATAACAAAATTAAGGCAGAAATCAAGAAATTATTTGAAGCCGAGGAGAACAAAGAGACAACTTACCAGAATCTTTGGGACACAGCTAAAGCAGTGTTAAGAGGGAAATTTACAGCACTAAATGCCCACATCAGAAAGCTGGAAAATCTCAGTCGACACCCTAATATCACAATTCAAGAAATAGAGAAGTAAGAGGAAACAAATAAAAAAGCTAGCAGAAGACAAGAAATAACTAAGATCAGAGCAGAACTGAAGGAGATAGAGACACGAAAAACCTTTCAAAATATCAATGAATTACAGGAGCTGGTCTTTGAAAAAGTTAACAAAATGGATAGATCACTAGCTAGACTAATAAAGAAGAAAAGAGAAAAGAATCAAATAGACACAATAAAAAATGATAAAGGGGATATCACCACTGACCCCACAGAAATACTAACTACCATCCGAGAATAGTATGAACAACTCTCTGCAAATAAACTAGAAAATCTAAAAGAAATAGATAAATTCCTGGACACATACTCCCTCCCAAGACTAAAGCAGAAAGAAGTCAAATCCCTGAATAAACCAATAACAAATCCTGAAATTGAGGCAGTAATTAATAGCCTATCAACTGAGAAAAGCACAGGACCGGATGTATTCACAGTTGAATTCTACCAGAGGTATAAAGAGAAACTATTCCAAACAATCAAAAAGGAGGGACTTCTCCCTAACTCATTCTATGAGACCAGCATCATCCTGATACCAAAACCTGGCAGAGACACAACGAAAAGAAGAAAAACTTAGGCCAATATCCTTGATGAGCATCGATGCAAAAATGCTCAATAAAATACTGGCAAACAGAATCCAGCAGCACATCAAAAAGCTTATCCACCACGATCAAGTCAGCTTCATTCCTGGGATGCAAGGCTGGGTCAACATATGCAAATCAATAAATGTAACCAATTACATAAACAGAATCAATGACAAAAACCACGTGATTATCTCAATAGATGCAGAAAAAGCCTTCGATAAAATTCAACATCCCTTCAGGTTAAAAACTCTCAATGTACTAGTATTGATGAAATATATCTCAAAATAATAAGAGCTATTTATGACAAATCCATTGCCAATATCATCCTGAATGGGCAAAAGCTGGAAATACTCCCTTTGAAAACTGGAACAAGACAAGGATGCCCTCTCTCACCACTCCTATTCAACATAGTATTGGAAGTTCTGGCCAGGGCAGTCCAGCAAGAGGAGGAAGTAAAGTATATTCAAATAAGAAGACAGGGAGTCAAATTGTCTCTGTTTTCAGATGACATAATTGTATATTTGGAAAACCCCATCATCTCAGCCCCAAAACTCCTTAAGCTCATAAGCAACTTCAGCAAAGTCTCAAGATACAAAATCAATGTGCAAAAATCACAAACATTCCTATACACCAACAATAGACAAGCAGAGCCAAATCATGGATAAACTCCCATTCACAATTGCTACAAAAATAATAAAATACCTAGGAATACAGCTTACAAGGGATGTAAAGGACCTCTTCGAGGAGAACTACAAACCACTGCTCAAAGAAATAAGAGAGGACACAAACAAATGGAAAAACACTACATGCTCATGGATAGGAAGAATCAATATCGTGAAAATGGCCATACTGCCCAAAGTAATTTATAGATTCAATGCTCTTCTCACCAAACTACCCTTGACTTTCTTTGCAAAATTAGAAAAAACTACTTTAAATTTCATATGGAACCAAGAAAAGAGCCCATATAGCCAAGACAATCCTAAGCAAAAAGAACAAAGCTGGAGGCATCATGCTACCTGACTTCAAACTATACTACAAGGCTACAGTAACCAAACGGCATGGTAGTGGTACCAAAACAGACATATCGACCAATAGAACAGAACAGAGACCTCAGAAATAACACCACACACCTACAACCATCTGATCTTCGACAAACCTGACAAAAACAAGCAATGGGGAAAAGATTTCTTATGTAATAAATGGTGCTGGGAAAACTGGCTAACCATACCCAGAAAACTGAAACTGGACCTCTTCCTTACACTTATACAAAAATTAACTCAACATAGATGAAAGACTTAAATGTAAAGCCCCAAACCATAAAACTCTAGAAGAAAATCTAGGCAATAACATTCAGGACATAGGCATGGACAAAGACTTAATGACAAAAATACCAAAAACAATGTCAACAAAACCTAAAATTGACAAATGGGATCTAATTAAACTAAAGATCTTCTGCACAGCAAATGAAACTAGAATCAGAGTGAACAGGCAACCTATAGAATGGGAGAAAATTTTTACAATCTACCCATCTGACAAAGGACTAATAACCAGAATCTATAAGAAACTTAAACAAATTTACAAGAAAAAAACAAACAACCCCATCAAAAAGTGGGCAAGGGATATGAACAGACACTTCTCAGAAGAAGACATTTACGCTGCCAACAGACATATGAAAAAAAGCTCATCATCACTAATCATTAGAGAAATGCAAATCGAAACCACAATGAGATACCATCTGACTCCAGTAAGAATGGCAATTATTAAAAAGTCAGGAAACAATAGATGCTGGCGAGGCTGTGGAGCAATAGCAACGCTTTTACACTGTTAGTGGGAATGTAAATTAGTTCAACCTTGTGCAAGACAGTGTCATGATTCCTCAAGGATCTAGAACTAGAAATACCATTTGACCCAGCAATCTCATTACTGGGCATACACTCAAAGGATCATAAATTATTCTACTATAAAGATACATTCACATGTTTGTTTATTGCAGCACTATTTACAGTAGCAAAGACATGGAACCAACCCAAATGCCCACCAATGATAGACTGGACAAAGAAAACATGGTATGTATACACCATGGAATACTATGCAGCCATAAAGAAGAATGGGCTCATGTCCTTTGCAGAAACATGGATGAAGCTGGAAACCATCATCCTCAGCAAACTAACAAACACAGGAACAGAAAACCAAACACAACATGTTCTCACTCACAAGTGGGAGTTGAACATTGAGAACACACGGACACAGGGAGGAAAACAACACATACCGGGGCCTGTTGTAGGGTGGTGGGCAAGTAGAGGTAGAGCATTAGGGTAAATACCTAATACATGCAGGACTCAAAACCTAGATGACAGGTTGATAGGTGCAGTAAGCTATCATGGCGCATGCAATAAGCCAGTACATTCTGCACATGTATCACAGAACTTAAAGTAAATTTTTAAAAAAAATCTAGGAACTTTTGGGCAGTTCTGTCAGTTTTTGCTTTATATATTTTGATGGTCTGTCACTAGATGCATGCATGCTTATACTTGTTATATATTCTTGCTGTATTTTACCATTTGTTAATATATAATGTTCTTCTTTGTCTCTTGGAAACTTCTTTGAATTAATAATTATCTTCCTCTAATATTAATATAGCTATCCCTCCTCTCTTTGGTTACTGCTTCCATGGAACATCTTTTTTCACCTTTTCTCTTTCAATTTCTAAGTGCTTTTAGATCTAAAATGAGACTTTTGTTGAAAGCATGTAGTTGGATCATTTGCTTTTATTCATTCTGCTCATCTTTGTCTTTTGATTGGACAGTTTAATCCACTTACATTTGAAGGGATTACTGATAAATGGGGGACTTACTTCTGCTCTTTTTCCATATGTTTTCTGTGTACCTTTTGCCTTTTTTCCCCCTCATTTCCTGCAACGTTGTCTTCCTTCCCTTTCCTTTTCTTTTCTCGTCTCTTTCTGGAACTCCCAGAACATACATGTTAGCCTGATTCATTGTTCCACAGGTGCCTTAGGCTCAATTCACTTTTCCTTAATACTTTTTCTTTTGTCCCTCAGAATCAATAATTTTCATTGCTCTAACTTTGTGCATATTGATTCTTCTGCATGTTCAAATCTGTCTTTGAATCTCTCTAGTGAACTTTTCAAAGTTCAAAAGTTATTGTATTTTTAGCACTAAAATTTCTTTTGGGTTTCTTTTTAGATTTTCCATCTCTTTATTGATATTTCCATTTTGTTCATATATCATTTTCTTGACTTTCTCTACATTTTTGTTTAGTTCTTTGAGCACCTTTAAGACAGTTGTTTTAAACTCTTTGTCTAGTAGATCTTTTATCAGGTTTTTTCGTAGGCTGTTCCTGTTGATTTTTTCCCTTTGGATGGGCCATAATTCCCTGTCTCTTTGTGTGCATTGTAAATTTTGCTTCATAAATGGACACTTGAGTCTAATAATATTGCAACTCTGGAAATCAGATTCTTTCTCCTCTCCAGGGTACACTGCTTTTTAAAATTTAATTATTGTTCTTTTTCTTCTATTTTATTCTCTTTTAATTATTTTAGGCTGTCTCTGTGTCAAGGATCATCCTGAAGTGTAAACTTTATGGTCATCTCATGATGTTTTTTATGACTCTTGGCATATGTGGTCATTTTCTAGTTTTCTCTGTTTATGCAGTTTCATATAGTTTGGATATTTGTCCTTGCCTGAATCTCATGTTGAAATGTGATCACCAATGTTGGAGACGGTTCCTGGGGAAGGTGCTTGGGACAAGGGGGTGGATCTTTCATGGCTTGGTGCTGTCCTCACAGTAGTGAGTGACTTTTCATGAGATCTGGCTGTTTAAACGTGTGTGGTACCTCCCCTCCCCTGCTTTCACCATTTGATGTGTCTGCTCCTGATTTGCTCTCTGCCATGAGTAAAAGCTCCCTGAAGCCTCCCGAGAAGCTGAGCAGATTCTGGGGCTATGCTTCCTATGTAGCCTGCAGAACCATGAGCCAATTAAACCTCTTTTCTTTATGACTTACCCAGACTCAGGTATTTCTTTATAGCAATGCTGTAATGGACTAAACACATAGTTGCTCTCAGATGTTCTAGCCTTTAATGACTACCTCCCAAAAGAAGAAGAGAAAAGAAAATTAAATAAAAAGAGCACTTGTCCTTAAACACTCTGAAAGTTACTTTAACAGGAGGCAGAGGGGCTTGCAAATATGGGTAAAGGTACACAAAAAATGGCCACCAACCTCTTTGTCTGTACTTCTGTGATCAGAAGCATCAATCAGAAATCAAAGTGTAGATCCCTCAATATTTGGAGGATGGTGTCCTTTTTGTCAGCCTGAAACCAATGTATAGGTTGATCCAGGAACATGTGCATATCTGGGCCTATGGATGGGGGATGTGTAGTTGCTAATTTTCCAAGAGGTACAATTGTCCAAAATTAACCACAATTTACTGTCCAAGTCTTACTCTAGAAGCCTTGAATAAACTCTAGCATTCCAAAATAGTTACACCAAACAGATTCTGTCAGTGCAATTGTTGTATAGGTGAATAGATGGATTTCTGTTGCTTCTTATTCTACCATTTTCCCAGAATCCTCTCTGGTCTTAGTTTGCAACAGATGTTTTTATTGAGTGTAGAATTCTAGATAGATAACCTTCTTCAAATTTTAGTATTTTAAAGTTATTGCTACACTTTTTTCTAATTTACTTTTTTTTTTTCCAAGGAAGTGTTGGAATCATTATCTTTCTTCCTCTGTATATAACATGTCTTTTTTTCTTCTGGCTATTTGAAAAGTTTTTTCTTGAAAATGGTTTTCAGCAATTTTATTAGGATACGGTCTGGTCATTTTTTAAATGTTTTGTGCTTGGGGTTTGTTTAACATCTTGAATCCAGAGAAGTCTAGTTTTCTTTAAAATTGGAATAAAACTGACCGTTATTATTTAAATATTTTTCTGTCTCTATTCCCAGATATTCTAATTTCATGTGTAAGAGACTGCTTGAAATTGTTCAACTTGAAGTTGTCCTGCTTGAAATTGTCCTAGCATTCACTGATGCTTTAATATTTTCCAAAATAAGTATTCTTTCTCTGATTGCTTCAGTGTGGGTTGTTTCTGCTGTTATTTACTAATCATTTTATTATTATTATTATACTTTAAATTCTGGGGTACATGTGCAGAATGTGAAGGTTTGTTACATAGGTATATACGTGCCATGGTGGTTTGCTGCACCCATCAACCCATCATCTACATTAGGTATTTCTCCTAATGATTCCCCTTTCCTAGCACCCCAGCCCCGACAGGCCCCAGTGTTTGGTTTTCTGTCCTTGTGATAGTTTGCTTAGAATAATGGTTTCCAGATTCATCCATGTCCCTGCAAAGGACATTATCTCATCCTTTTTATGGCTGCATAGTATTCCATGGTGTATATGTGCCACATTTTCTTCATCCAGTCTATCATTGATGGGTATTTGGGTTGGTTCCAAGTCTTTGCTATTGTGAACAGTGCCGCAATAAACATATGCATGCATGTGTCTTTAAAGTAGCATGATTTATAATCCTTTGGGTATATACCCAGTAATGGGATGGCTGGGTCAAATGGTATTTCTAGTTCTAGATCCTTGAGGAATTGTCACACTGTCTTCCACAATGGTTGAACTAATTTACACTCCCACCAACAGTGTAAAAGTGTTCCTGTTTCTCCACATCCTCTCCAGCACCTGTTGTTTCCTGACATTTTAATGATCGCCATTCTAACTGGAGTGAGATGGTATCTCATTGTGGTTTTGATTTGCATTTCTCTAATGATTAGTGATGATGAGCTTTTGTTTATATGTTTGTTGGCTGCATAAATGTCTTCTTTTGAGAAGTGTCTGTTCATATCCTTTGCCCAATTTTTGCTGGGGTTGTTTTTTTCTTGTAAATTTATTTAAGTTCTTTGTAGATTCTGGATATTAGCCCTTTGTCAGATAGATAGATTGCAAAAATTTTCTCCCATTCTGGAGGTTGTCTGTTCACTCTGATGATAGTTTCTTTTGCTATGCAGAAGCTCTTGGGTTTAGTTAGATCCCTTTTATCAATTTTGGCTTTTGTTGCCATTGCTTTTGGTGTTTTAGTCATGAAGTCTTTGCCCGTGCCTATGTCCTGAATGATATTGCCTAGGTTTTCTTACTAATCATTTTTACTACAATGTCTAATTTGGCATTACTCTCACTGAGTGTATATTTAATCTCCGACACTGTTGTTTTCCTTGGTAGAATTTTATTTGAGACTTTTAAAATATCTTCTCCATTTCTGCTTAACATACTTAATCTTTTTGGTTTTTTTCGTTTAATTTTATATTTATGGATAAACTTAATTTTTTATGTTTTCCAATTTTCTTCCACAAGTTCCCAATAATTTTATAATCAAAATAACATTGAAATAAATTAAAATAAAACAATTCAGCTCGTGTATGTCACAAAATATATAATATATGTTGTCACATCATCTTTGTGTCCTGTGCACTTTTGTTCAAAGCCACTAGAGGAGGGCTTAAGATGCATTCCATGTTTACACTTCATCATTACACCCTAGAGCAGATTGTAACAGACCTTCAGTATTAGGTGGAATTTGATTTCCCCTTGCAGAATTGCTGTTTGCTTTCCATCATTTAACTTAAAATTTAACAAATGAGCATTATGATAGGAGCAGAGTGAAATTTTTCAGAGTAATGTATACACTGGGGTTTAATGAAATATATTATTTTTCTAAATATGCAATCATGTCATCTGCAAACAGGGACAATTTGACTTCCTCTTTTCCTAATTGAATACCCTTTATTTCTTTCTCCTGCCTGATTGCCCTGGCCAGAACTTCCAACACTATGTTGAATAGGAGTGGTGAGAGTGGGCATCCCTGTCTTCTGCCAGTTTTCAAAGGGAATGCTTCCCGTTCTTGCTCATTCTGTATGATATTGGCTGTGGGTTTGTCATAAATAGCTCTTATTATTTTGAGATACGTCCCATCAATACCTAATTTATTGAGAGTTTTTAGCATGAAGGGCTGTTGAATTTTGTCAAAGGCCTTTTCTGCATCCATTGAGATAATCATGTGGTTTTTGTCTTTGGTTCTGTTTATATGAGGGATTACATTTATTGATTTGCATATGTTGAACCAGCCTTGCATCCCAGGGATGAAGCCCACTTGATCATGGTGGATAAGCTTTTTGATGTGCAGCTGGATTCGGGTTGCCAGTATTTTATTGAGGATTTTTGCATCGATGTTCATCAGGAATATTGGTCTAAAATTCTCTTTTTTTGTTGTGTCTCTGCCAGGCTTTGGTATCAGCATGATGTTGGCCTCATAAAATGAGCTAGGGAGGATTCCCTCTTTTTCTATTGATTGGAATAGTTTTAGAAGGAATGGTAGCAACTTCTCCTTGTACCTCTGGTAGAATTCAGCTGTGAATCCATCTGTTCCTGGACTTTTTTTGCTTGGTAGGCTATTAATTATTGCCTCAATTTTGGTCTATTCAGGGACTCAACTTCTTCCTGGTTTAGTCTTGGGAGGGTGTATGTGTCCAGGAATTTATCCATTTCTCCTAGATTTTCTAGTTTATTTGCATAGAGATGTTTATAGTATTCTCTGATGGTAGTTTGTATTTCTGTACGATCGGTGGTGATATCCCCTTTATCATTTTTTACTGCATCTATTTGATTCTGCTCTCTTTTCTTCTTTATTAGTCTTGCTAGCAGTCTAACAATTTTGTTAATTTTTTCAAAAAGCCAGCTCCTGGATTCATTAATTTTTTGAAGGTTTTTTTTTTTTGTGTCTCTATCTCCTTCAGTTCTGCTCTGATCTTAGTTATTTCTTGCCTTCTGCTAGCTTTTGAATGTGTTTGCTCTTGTTTCTCTAGTTCTTTCAATTGTGATGTTAGGGTGTCAATTTTAGATTTTTCCTGCTTTCTCTTGTGGGCATTTAGTGCTATAAATTTCCCTCTACACTCTGCTTTAAATATGTCCCAGAGATTCTGGTATGTTGTGTCTTTGTTCTCATTGGTTTCAAAGAACATCTTTATTTCTACCTTCATTTCCTTATGTACCCAGTAGTCATTCAGGAGCAGGTTGCTCAGTTTCCATGTAGTTGAGTGGTTTTGAGCGAGTTTATTAATCCTGAGTTCTAGTTTGATTGCACTGTGGTCTGAGAGAGAGTTTGTTATAATTTCTGTTCTTTTACATTTGCTGAGGAGTGCTTTACTTCCAACTATGTGGTCAATTTTGGAATAAGTGCAATGTGGTGCTGAGAAGAATGTATATTCTGTTGATTTGGGGTGGAGAGTTCTGTAGATGTTTATTAGGCCCGCTTGGTGCAGAGCTGAGTTCTATTTCTGGATATCCTTGTTAACTTTCCGTCTCACTGATCTGTCTAATGTTGACAGTGGGGTGATAAAGTCTCCCATTATTATTGTGTGGGAGTCTAAGTCTCTTTGTAGGTCTCTAAGGACTTGCTTTATGAATCTGGGTGCTCCTGCATTGGATGCATATATATTTAAGATAGTTAGCTCTTCTTGTTGAATTGATCCCTTTACCATTATGTAATGGCCTTCTTTGTCTCTTTTGATCTTTGTTGGTTTAAAGACTGTTTTATCTGAGACTAGCATTGCAACCCCTGCCTTTTTTTGTTTTCCATTTGCTTGGTAGATCTTCCTCCATCGATTTATTTTGAGCCTATGTGTGTCTCAGCCCAAAATCTCCTTAAGCTGATAAGCAACTTCAGCAAAGTCTCAGGATATAAAATCAATGTGCAAAAATCACAACCATTCTTATACACCAATAACAGACAAACAGAGAGCCAAATCATGAGTGAACTCCCATTCACAATTGCTTCAAAGAGAATAAAATACCTAGGAATCCAACTTACAAGGGATGTGAAGGACCTCTTCAAGGAGAATTACAAACCACTGCTCAATGAAATAAAAGAGGACACAAACAAATGGAAGAATATTCCATGCTCATGAATAGGAAGAATCAATATCGTGAAAATGGCTATACTGTCCAAGGTAATTTATAGATTCAATGCCGTCCCCATCAAGCTACCAATGACCTTCTTCATAGAATTGGAAAAAACTACTTTAAAGTTCATATGGAACCATAAAAGAGCCCACATTGCCAAGAGAATCCTAAGCCAAAAGAACAAAGCTGGAGACACCATGCTACCTGACTTCAAACTATACTACAAGGCTACAGTAACTAAAACAGTATGGTACTGGTACCAAAACAGAGATATAGACCAATGGAACAGAACAGAGCCCTCAGAAATAATACCACACATCTACAACCATCTGATCTTTGACAAACCTGACAAAAACAAGAAATGGGGAAAGGATTTCCTATTTAATAAATGGTGCTGGGAAAACTGGCTAGCCATATGTAGAAAGCTGAAACTGGATCCCTTCCTTACACCTTATACAACAATTAATTCAAGATGGATTAAAGACTTAAATGTTAGACCTAAAACCAAAAAAGCCCTAGAAGAAAACCTAGGCAATACCATTCAGGACATAGGCATGGGCAAGGACTTCATGTCTAAAACACCAAAAGCAATGGCAACAAAAGCCAAAATTGACAAATGGGATCTAATTAAACTTAAGAACTTCTGCACAGCAAAAGAAACTACCATCGGAGTGAACAGGCAACCTACAGAATGGGAGAAAATTTTTGTAATCTACTCATCTGAGAAAGGGCTAATATCCAGAATCTACAAAGAGCTCAAACAAATTTACAAGAAAAAAACAAACAACACCATCAAAAACTGGGCAAAGGATATAAACAGACACTTCTCAAAAGAAGACATTTATGCAGCCAAAAGACACATGAAAAAATGCTCATCATCCCTGGCCATCAGATAAATGCAAATCAAAACCACAATGAGATACCATCTCACACCAGTTAGAATGGCGATCGTTAAAGAGTCAGGAAACAACAGGTGTTGGAGATGATGTGGAGAAATAGGAACACTTTTTCACTGTTGGTGGGACTGTAAACTAGTTCAACCATTGTGGAAGACAGTGTGGTGATTCCTCAAGGATCTAGAACTAGAAATACCATTTGACCCAGCCATCCCATTACTGGGTATATACCCAAAGGATTATAAATCATGCTGCTATAAAGACACATGCACACATATGTTTATTGCGGCACTGTTCACAATAGCAAAGACTTGGAACCAAGCCAAATGTCCAACAATGATAGACTGGATTAAGAAAATGTGGCACATATACACCATGGAATATTATGCAGCCATAAAAAAGCATGAGTTCATGTCCTTTGTAGGGACATGGATGAAGCTGGAAACCATCATTCTCAGCAATCTGTCGTAAGGACAGAAAACCAAACACTGCATGTTCTCACTCATAGGTGGGAATTGAACAATGAGAACACTTGGACACAGGAAGTAGAACATCACACACTGGGGCCTGTCGTGGGGTGGGGGAAGGGGGGAGGGATAGCATTAGGAGATATACCTAATGTAAATGATAAGTTAATGGGTGCAGCACACCAATATGGCACATGTATACATATGTAACAAACCTGCATGTTGTGCACATGTATCCTAGAACTTAAAGTATAATTTAAAAGAAAAGAAATATATTATTTTTCTTTTTTTTTTTTTTTTTTTTTTTGAGATGGAGTCTCGCTCTGTCACCCAGGCTGGAGCGCAGTGGCGCAATCTCGGCTCACTACAACCTCTGCCTCCCGGTTTCAAATGATTCTCCTGCCTCAGCTTCACAAGTAGCTGGAATTACTTGCACCCACCACCACGCCCGGGTAATTTTTGTATTTTTTAGTAGAGAAGGGATTTCACCATGTTGTCCAGGCTGGTCTCAAACTCCTGACCTCAGGTGATCCACCTGCCTCAGCCTCCCAAAGTGCTGGGATTACAGGCGTGAGCCACCGTGCCTGGCCCAAAAAATATATTTTTCTTACATAAAATGTATATAGAGTGAAGCTTACTTTTGGAGTTACATGTGTAAAAGCCTGAGTTTTAGAGTGACTTTATTATGTTTTCCGAAGAAATAATGCATTTTGAACTATACTCAACCAGTTTCATCTACCCTGTCAGCTGGTTAGATGCATTAGCTTATAAAAGAATAACTTTGGGAATGGCTATGGCTGATGATATTATATACCATTGTATTTTTCGCTCTTATCTTAGAAGCTCCCTTTCTATAAATCTTAACTTGTCCACTGCTTAACCTGTGACAAGCAGAGGCAAAACCTGGGCCTCAGGTCATGGCTTCCAATTAGTTCTATAATTCTACACAAACCATTTTACCTCACTGGGCCTCTGTTAATTTTTCATTTGCAAAAAAAGGAAATCCTCAAAATCTTAGCGGGTGACTCAGTGCCTCTTTTTTAAAATTTTTTTAAATATTATTTTTATTTCAATAACTTTGGGATACAAGTGTTTTTTGGTTAAATGGATGCATTATATAGTGGTGAATTCTGAGATTTTAGTCACCCATCAATGGAACAGTGTACATTGTACCCAATATGTCGCTTTTTATTCCACACCCCCCTCCCACCTTCCCTCTTCTGATACTACAAAGTACATTATATCACTCTGTATGCCTTTGTGTACTCACAGTTTAACTCCCACTTATAAGTGAGAACATATGGTATTTGATTTTCCATTCCTGAGTTACTTCACTTAAAATAATGGCCTCTAGCTCCATTCAAGTAGCTGCAAAAGACATTATTTTGTTTCTTTTTATGGCTGAGTAGTAGTCCATGGTGTATATATACCACGTTTCCTTTTCTTTTCTTTTCTTTTCTTTTCTTTTCTTTTCTTTTCTTTTCTTTTCTTTTCTTTTCTTTTCTTTTCTTTTCTTTTTTGAGATGGAGCCTTGCTCTGTCACCAGGCTGGAGTGCAGTGGCACGATCTGGGCTCACTGCAACCTCCGCCTTCGGGTTCAAGGAAATAACCTGCCTCAGCCTCCCAAGTAGCTGGGACTACAGGCACGTGCCACCACACCCAGATAATTTTTGTATTTTTAATAGAGACAGGGTTTCACCATGTTGGCCAGGATGGTCTCGATCTCTTGACCTCATGATCTGCCTGCCTCAGTCTCCCAAAGTGCTGGGATTACAGGAATGAGCCACCATGCCCGGACCATAACACATTTTCTTGTCAATAGGCATTTAGGTTGGTTCTATAACTTTGCAATTGTGAATTGGACTGTAATAAGCTTACATGTGCATGTGTCTTTTTCACATAATGACTTATTTTCCTTCTGGTAGATACCCAGTAGTGGGATTGCTGGATCGAATGGTAGACCTACTTTTAGTTCTTTGAGTAATCTCCATACTGTTTACCATAGAGGTTATACTAAAATACATTCATACATTCCCACTAGCTGTGTTTAAGCATTTCCTTTTAAACATTCATGCCAACATCTATTGTTTTTTTTTGTTTTTTTTTTTACTTTTAATTATGGCCATTCTTGCAGAGGTAAGATGGTATTTCATTGTGGTTTTAAATTGCATTTCCCTGATGATTAGCGATGTTGAGCATTTATTTCATGTCTGTTGGCCATTTATGTATCTTCTTTTGAGAAATACGTTCATATGATTGGCCAACTTTCTGATGGAATTATTTAGATTTTTTCTTGCTGATTTGTTGGAGTTCTTTGTAGATTCTGGATACCAGTCCTTTGATGGATTTATAGTGTGGAAATGTTTCCTCCCATTCCATTGGTTGTCTATTTACTCAGCTAATTATTTCTTTTCTTGTGCAGAAGGTTTTTAATTTAGGCGGGTCCCATTTGTTTATTTATTTTTGTTTTTGTTGCATTTACTTTTGGGATCTTAGTCATGATAATGGGGTTTTAGTCATGAATTCTTTGCCTAGGCCAAGGTCCAGAAGAGTTTTTCCAATGTTATTTTCTAGAATTCTTATGGTTTCCGGTCTTACATTTAAGTCTTCGATCCATCTTGAGTTAATTTTTGCATAAGGTGAGAGATGAGGATCCAGTTTCACTCTTCTATATGTGGCTTGTCAGTTTTCCCAGCAACATTTATTAAATAGGATGTCCTTTCACCAATATATGTTTTCGTATGCTTTATCAAAGATTACGTAGTTGGCTGTACATATTTGGAACTATTTCTGAATATTCTGTTCCATTGGTCTATGTACCTACTTTTATATCAATACCATGCTGTCTTGATAACTATTGCCTTGTGTTACAACTTGAAGTTTGGTAATGCAATGCCTCCAGATTTGTTCTTTTTGCTATGGCTAAAGAATAAGTCTTTAGGTATTCAAACTATTTTTTGGTTTAATATGAATTTTGTGATTGTTTTTTGAATTATTGGAAAAATGTTGTTGGTGTTTTAATGGGAATCGCATTGAATCTGTAGATTGCCTTGGGCAGTATGGTTATTTTCACAATATTGATTCTTCCAATCCATGAACATAGGATGTGTTTCCATTTGTTTGTGTCATCTGTGATTTCCTTTATCAGTCCTTCATCTCCTTGGTTAAGTTTGTTTCTAGGTATTTAATTTTTTTCAGCTTTTGTAAAAGGAATTAAGTTCTCGATTTGTTTCTGAGCTTGGTCATTAGTTTGTATTAATGCCACTAATTTGTGCACATTGATTTTGTAAATTGAAACTTTACTGAATTCATTTATCAGATCTAAGAGTCTTTTAGATGAATCTTTAGAGTTTTCTAGGTATTTGATCATATAATCAGTGAACAGTGACAGTTTGACTTCCTCTTTTTCTAGGTACATGATCATATCGTCAGTGAACAGTGATAGTTTGACTTCCTTTTTTCCAATTTGGATGCCCTTTATTTCTTCCTTTTGCCTGATTGCTTTGGCTAGGACTTCCAGTATTATGATGAATAGAGGTGGTAAAAGTGGGCATCCTTGTCTTTTTGCAGTTACCAAGGGTAATGCTTTCAGCTTTTCCCCATTCAGTGTGATATTGGCTCTGGGTTTGCCATATATGGACTTTATTAATTTGAGATAGTCCCTTCACCTAGTTTGTTGAGGGTCTTTTATCATAAAGGGATGCTAGGTTTTATCAAATATTCTTGCTGCATCTATTGAATTGGTCATTTGGTTTTTAATTCTATTTATTAATATACTTAATTTTCATTAGACTTTCTTAAAAATATGGAACACAATTATTAAAACTATTTTAATGCCCTGATTTACTAATTCTATTACTGAACCCATTCTGGGTCAATTTCAATTGATTTGTTATTTCTCATTATTATGGTTTATATTTGATTCTTTGCATACCTAAAAATCTTTGATTGGATATCGGACATTGTGACTTTTACATTTGTAGGTGTTAGATATTTTTACATACCTATGAATATCCTCCAGTTTTGTTCTGTGATGCAGTTAAGTTCCTTTAAAAAACAGTTTGTTACATTGGGGTCTTCCTTTTCAGTTTACTAGGATAGATGATAGTAACATTTAATCTACAGCTAGGTTTACCCACTACAGGGTCAAAACCCTTTATGAACACTCTACTTATTGACATGTGAATCTTGTGGGTTTTTAATGACTAGCTATTTAAACCAGGAAGTATTCCTGACCTTGTGTGGGTTCTCAAAATTGTCCTAATACTTCTGTGTGATTGCTTGACTAGACTCTGGGAATTTCTCTGTATGCATACTCAAGGGGCCTTCTGCAGATATCCAGAACTCTCCTCCACTGTTGCTATCTCATTCCTGGAATTCTGTTCTGCAAACTCTAGTTTCTTTTCTTCCTCAAATACTAATTGTTTCTCCATAATTTACAGAGATCACTAGTTTCTGTGAATTTCACCTCCTTGCTCTGTGATCTAAAGGCTTTCTTCAGGCAGTAAATCAACCATTCTTAGGAAATGCCTCATTTTTGCCACATTTGTTAGGTATACCACTTTCCGTTACTGATGTCCAATGACTGAAAATTGTTGTTTGATATATTTTGTAATGTTATAGTCATTTTGGTTGGGAGAGAAAATCCAATCCCTACTACTTCATCTTGGTTAGAATTGAAAGCACTAAGCAACATATAATGGTATTATATCTTAGTAAACAATGTTTCAAGGTTTAGAAATACAGTAAACGTAAAGTTAGAATGATATTTGTTTACCAGGAATTTAATATTTTGAAAGAGTACTTAATATGTTTATAGAACTTCTGAATTACCGTTTGTTTTTGTTTGTTTGTTTGTTTTTTCAGGGGATTCAGGCAGTTGAATTCATTAGAAAATATCTAGGAACAAAATAAAATTAAAATATAAAAGTCTAAAATCTAGGATGAAAATTAACTACTCTATATCACAATCATGAAAAACCTTTACAATTTTTCACCTCATCTAACAACAAATATAGTCATTTTAAATAAATTCGTAAAAATTGTACTTTGAGTCTTATGAATCAATCTTTAGAGATTATTAATTATGCAAATTCACAGTTCAAGCTCATGTTGTGAACTGGATTCTAAATCTACATTTTTATGAACTGTCCCAAGTGATGATGATGCAGGTAGTTTGGGGTCCTCTGTGTCTTTGCTTCTGAATTTAATAACCCCCAACTTAAGTGTATTGTAAACATTTCAAACTGAAGCAAGATGAAATGTCATTGCTTCTCTCCAAACAACTGGTTTCTTATACTTACCTATTCAATGGGAGACAATTTTTAATCAAAAACAAAGTCAATATTCATTTTTCTTTCTTTCGTTTTTGTTTTTTGTTTGTTTGTTTTGTTTTGTTTTGTTTTGTTTTGAGACGGAGTATCACCCTGTGGCCCAGGCTGGAGTGCAATGGCACGATCTCTGCTCACTGCAACCTCCACCTCCCGGGTTCAAACGATTCCCCTGCCTTAGCCTCCCAAGTAGTTGGGATTACAGGCACATACATGCCACCATGCCCGGCTAATTTTTTGTATCTTTAGTAGAGACGGGGTTTCACCATGTTGGCCAAGTTGGTCTCAAACTCCTGACCTCATGATCCACCTACCTCGGCTTCCCAAAGTGCTGGGATTACAGGCATGAGCCACCATGCCAGGCCAATATTCACTTTTCTATTTGTCACTTTAGTATCCCTTCTCCAAATATCAGCTGCTTATGTATAATTCATTCATCAAGCTAGTCATAGCATTTAAAATTATTTTCCTGAAAAAAATTTCTCCATTCTATCAGATTATAGTATTTAAAACTGGTTTCCAAACAAATTTGTACAGTATGTTCTAAAAAGAGAGGTTTAGTTAAAAACATTAAAAAGAAGCAAAGCATAATCAGAAAAGGCATAGTACAAAAAAAAATGGAAAATGTATTTAAAAAATCAGTTTAAAGTCTTAAGTAAAGTTGTTTTTCCCTGTTAATAAAATATAATATTAACTATAAGATACTCCAATTTGGCCGGGCGCAGTGGCTCATGTCTGTAATCCCAGCACTTTGGGAGACCGAGGTGGGCGGATCACGAGGTCAGGAGATCAAGACCATCCTGGCTAACACGGTGAAACCCCGTCTCTACTAAAAATACAAAAAAATTAGCCGGGTGTGGTGGCGGGCACCTGTAGTCCCAGCTACTCAGGAGGCTGAGGCAGGAGAATGGCGTGAACCCGGGAGGCGGAGCTTGCAGTGAGCCGAGATTGTGATACTGCACTCCAACCAGGGCGACAGAGTGAGAGACACTCCGTCTCAAAAAAAAAAAAAAAAAAAAAAAAAACCTCCAATTTATAAATCCAGATTTTTCAGAATCACAGTTATTTTTCTTTAAAACAGATTGTGTAAGCATAATGCTACACTTGGTTCACTTTTATTTCAACAGCTAATGCTGGAGAAGGGCTACTAAGAAGGCTCAAAGTACAGTTGCTTTTGACTAACATTCTATAACAATTCTGCAAAAAATCCAAGAATAAGTACTGTTCATTTGGGCTCCAATAGCATTTAAGATATACGAAATCTTTGATTATTAAAATGGAATGTTTCTTCTTATTCTCAAGTACCAGATGTAAGTGTACCAGGGTAAGAGGTGAAAATTTAAGGCAGGGACTCTGAAATTGGGTTTGGGAAGTGTGTTAAGCAGAGTGTGCCCCCAAAGATAATCATGGATGAATTCCTGGAGTCTGTGGATATATTAAGTTATATGGAAAAACAAACTTTGTAGATATAATTAAAGTTATTATTCAGTGGTCTTAAAATGAGAAGATTATGCTGGATTATGTGGATGGGCCAAAATGAACCCTTAAAATCAGATAACTCTCTCTGGACAAAGTTGCAGTAAAATGGAAAGCTAGAGAGTTTCAAAGCACGAACAAGAATCCAACGTTACTGGTTTGATTATGGAGGAATCTGCATGATGAAGAATATCGGTGGCCTTAAGGAGCCAAGATAGGCTCCTAGCAGACATCAGAAAGGAAACAGAGACTTCAGCCCCATAGCTGCAAGGAACCAAATTCTGTAAAACAAATTGAATGATCTTGGAAGCAAATTATTCCTTAGAGCTTCCAGAAATGAGTACGTTCTAGCTGACACCTGGATTTTGGTCTGAGAGACTCTAAGCAAAGGATCCAACTGGGACACACTGTACCTGGACTTCTGACCTATGGAACTGTCAGATAAAATTGTGATGCTTTAAGCTGCTAAATTAGTAGTAACTTGATACGGCAACAGTAGAAAGCTAATATGACAGCTTTTTATAATAAAAGTAGTTAAATATAAGCATGTGTGTGTTTGTGAATGTGCATATGTATGTGTACATTCATTCATAGGTGTGCATTACACTTTGACAAATAATGTATTCCAAAAAATATTTTTCATGTAATTTACTCTTAGTAGAGCATTCTAAAAGGTAATATAATAGTCTTGTCTGAAATATGCAAACGGTGAAGCTTAGATGTGGAGACAATCTATGCTTTTAAAATTACCAGTAGCTTTCTGATCCTTCTTTTGGTAAGAATGCTTTTTATTTTGGGAAAATTCATGTATAGACACACACACAAACACATGATGCTTTAATGAGTTTTATATTACGCAAGTGAAAATGAAAATCATACTCCATAATGGACGCTTTGCCAAATAATGGAGAAGGTTGATATACTCAGAATTAGTTGTTTGTTTGTTTCTACCTGAGTAAATTCTGAAAATATTGAAAGGAGGCGTGGGGAAAAACTGATTCATTTCTTATGTCAAAACCACAGCACGAATTGGAACCTTTCATACAGATACGTAAGAAATAATAGAAAGTATCCCTAGGGCCTCTGCAACATATAATCTAGCTGGGGAATTAAGCAAGAGGCTGTTTACATGAGAATATCTGTTGAAGTGACACGGTCAATGAATACTAGGAGCTATTACGGCTGGTACTCAATTTTTAATTGCTTACTGACTTAATGTAACTTATATTTTTGAACACTATTATGTATTAAACACTGTTCTAAGTACTAGAAGTGTATAAGTAAATAAAGATCTGTGCTTTCATCATGCTTCTATACTTGAACAAAGATTGTATGACAAACAAAAAATATCATTAATGAGTAAATTATATAGCATGATAGAAGATCATAAGTGATATAAAAAATAAAATGTAGAGTAAAGGGGTTTGGGAGTGCCAAAGGCAAGACTCTTTTCCAAGATACTTACAATGACTAATTGTCTCATCTTCTTCAAATATTTGCCCAAATGTCACATCATCAGTAAAACCTTCCCTATCTGCCATATTTAAAATTGCAACTTTTGTATCCCCAAACAAATTACTGAGACAAGTGGATGAAATTTACTGATTGGTTTGATTCCTCTTCTAAAGCTCAGGTGAGTCTACTTTCTTTCAAGTGCATTAGCTATGTTGGACAGGGATGCATACCTACTGAAACCCAGGATATTATTACTAAGAATTAGGAAGAATGAATGCATGCTGACCAAAACAAGCAAATGTCAACTATTTGAATCTGCAGGGAAGGAAACAATATAGTTTCCAGCAAGCTGGCTAGTTGATCTAAAGGGTGGATGTTCGGGATACATAAGAATTCCCCAGATATTTTCAGGTATACTTGGTTACAGGAAATGGATAAAATACGGGAATTTATTTCAGGAATAAAATGTCCTTTTTGTACAAAAGGGGAAAATTCACCAAAGTCTACAAAATTTGGATAAAATCGGGGACACACTAGTTTTCACACTATCCATAAAAAGTCCACAATTAAGTAAAATGTAAATGTTATGTATATCAGTTATACAAAATAATATATATTATATATAATACATATATGAATTATCTAGAGACTGACAAGATCAACTGCTTTTATTAATGGTTGTACAGACCATTTTATATAATTTTGAGTAAACTAGTTGGTTTATTTAGCTCTATCTGCAAAAATTGTCAAGAATATTCTCTCAGTTATCAACAGGTAATATCTGAAATATATCAAGTGAAACATCAAGAAAAGAATTGTTACTTTTTAAATTCTGTAAATTTGGGAAAAGGGCATCTGTTGTGTGCTATTGAGATACACAGGCAATTAGTGTGCAGGAATTTATTCTATATGTATATAAATATATATATCGTTTGCATTGGTTTGGCATATCCTCAAGATGATGCAGGCACTTGTCCGTTGATCTACATGCTAATCTGTGATTGTAGGAGCAAAAGAAAAAAGTAAATGGCCTGCAGCACTTGAGATGATCAGTTGAGTGGCCATTACGGGTTTTATTTGGTCCATTTTGTGGAGGTAATTTTACCTTGATGCAGCAGTAAGTCAGTTAACTATAAGTCAAGGATTCTCAAACTAGAGGGATTGAAAGCCTTTAAATTTTCTGCTAACTGCGAAACTCTGTGTGTGTGTGTGTGTGTGTGTGTGTGTGTGTGTGTAAGTATGTTTGCGTGGGTATGCCTGAGCATGTATTTATGGATAGGCATTATTTGGAGGGAAAAAGGGCCTATGTCTTTTATTAGGTTTTCATAATTCCAAATTAGGTTAAAAACACTGCTTTATAATCTATGAGAAACAAACAAAAAAGCTTTTTAGTTTCTCAATCACCAAAACTATATTCTTGTGACACAGAAGTTATCCTTAATCAACAGCTACCACTGTTCAATGTGGTAGAGTTGGTATTTGAAGTACAGTCTATCAAAAAGTTCATGTTTATTTTTCCCAACTATGCCATGGGGTTTCCCCACAGAAATAAAACAATGTCAGTATATACGAAAACATCTATTCACAGAATCCACTATCTATACTACTTTATTACAAATATAGGAGGTCAGATGAATAAAACAAATATATTTAACCAGAAAAAAAATATGTGTAGCTGGAAAAAGAAAACTGACCACATTTATAATTATTTTGAAATATAATGAAATAAATTATTGTATTATTTCAAAATTTAATATAGCAGGGTAAGAAAAGTGTCTGTGTATGTGTGCTGGTAGGTACCGGAAGAGTGCATGAAGCAGAGGAAGTCAGAATTCAAGCAGAGTTATGATGCCAGTGTCCAGAGTTAGAATGCAAATGGCTGGTCTGGCACTTGGTGTCAGATCCAAAGTAGTGTAAGAAGAGCATCCACACCAACAAGTAAGCAAGCAGCTGAATATAGGATGTTGGAGCCTGAGAGGGGTAAGAAAGGTATCAGTGTAGAGGAAGAGGTGGTGGTAGTAATGGGTAAATAGTTACATACCAGGGGATTAATCAAGTATATATTAAGGGTAATGGGGGTTAGGTTTCTCACTTTCCTGAGACAAGACTTGCAAATATGGGAAAAGAGAAAACTAGATGAAGTCTGTTTTGTTGGAATGTAATTGGAGGTATTGCAGGCATTACCCATGGTTTTCAATGTTTAAACAATCGTGCATCCATTGAGAACAATGCAGCATTACATTGGGGCTATTTTTGCTATGGTAGTCAGAATTCCACCACGACCCTCAATGAATCACTCCCTTATACAATACCTCCCCGACTGTGGGCAGAACCTGTATATATGATAGCATATCACCCCCTTGAATAAATTTAGATTATATCATATAACAAGGTGAAGAAATTTTATAGGTGTAATTAAAGTCACAAATCCATTGGCTTTAAGGTAATAAAAGTAAGGTTATTCTTTGTGGGTTTGACCCAATTATTGTATTATTGGCTGAATTGTTTCCCATCAGAATTCATATATTGAAGTATGAAACCCCAGTACCTCAGAATGTGGCTGTATTTAGTAATAGGGACTTTTAAAAGGTAATTAAGATAAATGAGGCCATTAAAATTGGGCCCTAGTCCAACCGGATTGGTATGCTTATAAGAAAAGGGATTAGGACATACAGAAAGATGCCAGTGATGCATTTGTGCACAGAGAAAAGACCGTTTGATGAAACAGTGAGAAGGTAGCCATCTGTAAGCCAAGGAGAGAGGCATCAGAAGAAACCAATCTTGACAATTCCTCTTGGACTTTTAGCTTCCAAGACCATGAGAAATAAATTTTTATTAAGCCTATTAGTCTATGATATTTTGCTATGGCAGCCCTAACAAACTAATACACCTTTAAAAAAAGGTCTAGGGATGAGACTCAAAGCAACAATAGGTGCTTTTCTGATAATCTTGAAAAACCATGTTATGGAAAGAGTCATGGGCAAGTTACGAAAGGCAGCCTTCAGGAGTTTAAGAGTTCAGGTTAACAGCAGCAAGGAAATATGTTCAGCCAACAACCAGTGCAATTGGAAGAGAACTCTGAGCTTAAAATATAGCCCTGACACCTCAATTTCAATCCGGTGAGACACTGAGCAGGTAAGCCTTGCTTAAAATTTGAAACCATGGAAATTATAAGAAAATAAATATACATTGTTTCAAGCCATTGCTTGTATTGATGTGTTATGCAGCAATAGAAAAGTAATACAACCGCCAAAGATACATGACAGAAATCTAATAAAAAACCAAACTGAGTAGCACTGTACAAAATAACTACCTATATTTTTTCATAATGTCAAAGGCATAAAAGTAAAAGAAACACAAAATGAATCTTCCCAGCTCAAAGAGTCTAAACCGACATGAGAAACAAATACAATATGAGCTTCTGAAATGGTACCTTTTGTGTTAAAAAACATTATTGAGACACTTGTTGAAATTTGATTGTGGTTTGAGGATTACATGATAGTGAAGCATCTATGTTAATTTCTTGATTTTGATGATTGCATTTTGGTTTTGTTGGGGAATTTTTTTTAAACATGGAGAAAACTAAAAGGGCTATAACAGGTTAGTGAATTATCAATTTGTTTGGAAATATAGTATTTATACTATACCTGCAAATTTTCTGTACATTTGAGATTGTTTTAAAATTAAAAATATACATACTGAAAAAATTTCTATTTTTTCATTAAAATTATGTCACAGTTAGAATTTATGAGGAAATATGTATCAAGACCAAATCTATGTGAATTGAAATAAGTTTAAGAATACCAAAAAATTAAAGTTTCACTTTTGGAATGGCAGTGCAAAACACAGTGAACCCATTTCCCCAGAAAACAAGCATAACTGGTAAAAATTATTTTTAAAACCACATAATTTAAAAAATTTTAGTATTACTCAAAAAATACTAAAACTCAGTAACAGCAGTGAGAAGTTGTTGCATTTGAACTATAACCTATACCCTCGCTCCTGCTCCTAGCCCATTGTGATGGGAGCCACGCTCCAGGAAGGTGCAGCTAAGGACATAGGACCCCCTCCCCCTCCATTTAGCAGTGGAGTGTTATGATATCTTCCATGAGGGAGCAGAACTCAGCATTTTTTGCCCCTTTCAGCTATATAAGAAATTCCAGGGGAAAATGAAATTCCAGGTCAAAAAAGGAAGCCCCAACTTCCATGAAGCACTAGCTTAGAATTTTGCTTCTGCCAACACATAACTGAGGGAGAAGAGAAACACTAAGGTTCTTCTCCTCAAGGGAAGAATCACCAAAGGAGATAGCTAAAAAGAGCTCCTTTGGGATCAGAACAATCATCAAACACTGATGGCAAAAATTATCTCTACAAGCCGGGCGTGGTGGCTCACGATTGTAATACCAGCACTTTGGGAGGCCGAAGTTGGCAGATCACTTGAGGCCAGGAGTTCGAGACCTGCCTGACCAACATGATGAAACCCCGTCTCTATTAAAAATACAAAAAATTAGCCAGGCACGGTGGCAGGTGCCTGTAATCCCAGCTACTCGAGAAGCTGACATAGGAGAATTGCTTGAACCCAGGAGGCTGAGGTTGCAGAGAGCCGAGATCGCGCCATTGCACTCCAGCCTGGGCAACATGAGTGAAACTCTGTCTCAAAACAAAAACAAACAAACAAAACAAAACAAAACAAAACAAAACAAAAATTATCACTGCAAAGGAGTCAAAATTTAATTGTGTCAAACTGTGAAATAATTTATCCCCTAGGGTGTTATTAAAAACAATAGAGCAATCAGTCCATAATAAGTGCAGCCTACCATCTGTGCATAATCAGTGAAAGAGACAGTCAAAGAGAACCCTGATGAAGCCATTGCCATTCCATGGTGACTGTGGTCACACCCAAGGCTGAGCCTTCTTAGGAACAATATTAAGGGCTTTTTATTGGATGTGGAGATAATATACCTCAATAAATTAGTACGCCAATCAATTAAAAAATAAACAAACAACAACAACAGCCTTTGGGAAATCAGTTATCCAGCATTTCCACAAAGTGCTATCTAAAATGTCCAGTTTTCAAAAAAATTATGAGGCATGCAGAGAAACAGGAAAGTTTGACTCATACACAGAATAAAATAAGGAAACAGGCCTGTCATTAGAAGTGGTCCTTAAGAAATGCTCAAAAGAGACTTTCATGTTGGAAATAAAAATACACTAGACAGTAACTTGTAGCCATATGAAGCTATAAAGATCTCCGGTAATATATATACAGTGGCAAATATAAAAAGCAGTAGTACTATAATTTTGGTTTGAAATTCTACTTTATTTGCAAATAATTTAAAGGTAGACACAGAAATAAATATAAATATATGATAATGAATACATAACGTATAAAGATATATTTGTAACAGCGACATAAAAATGAGATAGAGCTGTTTAAGAGTAGACTGTATGCATTTTGAGTTAATTTGGTATCATTTCAAAATAGAGTGTTATAATTTTAGAATATTATTTTTAATCCTCAGGGTAACTACAAATAAAGAATACATGAACATTAACACAAGCTGACAGAAATTAAGCTATCTGAGAAACAGAAAGAAAATTAATGAAGAAAAATTAACAGAGCCTAAGAAAAATGGAGATATAATTAAGGGTCCCAACATTGGTAAAATGAGACTGTTAGAGAGCAGAGAAAGGAGCAAAAATAGACTTTAAAAAATAAGGGTTAAGTACTTCCCTAATTTGTTGAAAAAAGTTAATCTTTACATCCAAGAAGCTGAACAAAATCTAAGTAGAATAAACAGAAAGAGATTCACACCTAGCTATATTATGGTAAAAACGCTGAAAGACTAGTCAAAAGACAAAATTTTGAAAGAGGAGAAAAATGACTCGTCACTTATAAAACAATCTTAAGGAAATTGACACTTCATATTAGAAATGAAGCAGCCCACAGGGCATCGAGATGACATATTCAAATTACTGAAAGAAAAAAAATACGATCAACCAATAATTCTACAATCAGCAATACTAGTCTTATAACATTAAATAGAAATAAAAATATTCCTAAAATAGAAAAAAAAACTAATAGAATTTTTGCTAGAAGAGCTACATGTAAGAAATAATAAAGGAATTTCTTCAGGCTGATAATTTCTCCAGACAATAGTTCAGTTACACACACACACACACACACACGAATATGGATAAAGGCGATTATGTAGTTATACAAGACATAATATACACTTCTTCTTTGTTTATTCTCTTAAATGATTTGGCAAGTAATTTTTAAAATAATATATATATATAATTGTGTTGTTGGACCTCTGACATATAGAAATATATTTGCCAAAATCACTACAAACGATGTGAAGAGGTACCAAGCAATACTGAAGGATTATAAGGGAATATTATGAGCGTTATATGCCAATGAACTAGATATTGAAGGTAAAATAGACAACTAGCTACGATAGAAAGATACTAATTCCAAAAGTTAACAAAGAAGAAACAGAAAATCTAAATAAATCTTTCACTAAAATAGAGAATCAAAAAAAAAAAAAAAAAAAAAAAAAAAAGCCCAGCCCCAGGTGGCTCACAGGGGATTTCTAATAAATGTTTAAAGAAAAATTGATATCAACACTCAAAAACTCTCCTAAAATATAGAAAAGTTTAAACATTTCCCAACTCATTCAATGAGGCCATTTTTACCGTGATGCCAGAAAATAGAAAGCTACAAACCACTGTCTATTGTGAATTACACATGAAAAAGACCTCAAGAAAAAAAACCAGCAAAATGAATCCATCAACATATAAAATGGATTACACACCATTGCCAAGCGGGATTTATCTCAGGATTGCAAAGATATTTCAACATGTGAAAACAATTAATCTAATACACCACATACTTTATCATTAGAATAAAGGATATGAAGTACACGATAATCTCAATAGATGAAATAAAGCATTTGAAAAAAATCCAATACCCTTTCACGAAAAAAAAAAAAAACCACTCAATGAAGTTGAATAGAAGAAAACATCCTCAATCTGATAAAAAGCATCTACAAAATCTCTCAGCTAACATCATACTTAATAGTCAAAGTCCTAATGTTATCCCACTGAGATGAGGGACAAAATAAGAATGTCCACTTTTTTTTTTTTTTTTGAGATGGAGTCTCGTGCTGTCGCCCAGGCTGGAGTGCAGTGGCACAATCTAGGCTCACTGCAACCTCCACCTCCTGGGTTCAAGCAATTCTCCTGCCTCAGCCCCCACTAGTAGCTGGGATTATAGGCGCGTGCCACTACGCCCGGCTAATTTTTGTATTTTTAGTAGAGACAGGGTTTCCCCAAGTTGGCCAGGCTGGTCTTGAACTCCTGACCTCAGGTGATCTACCTGCCATGGCCTCCCAAATGCTGGGATTACAGGCGTGAGCCACCACCCCCCGCCAAGAATGTCCACTCTTGACACTTCTTTGAAAAACTTTATTGGAGTTCTTAGCCAGGGAGATTAGGCAATAAATAAATAAATAAATATCCATCTTGGAAAGAAAAACATAACCTATCTCTACTTGTAGATAACATCATCTTGTACATAGAAAATACTAAGAATTAATTAAAAACTCATAAATCTAATAATCTAATACATTAAGTAATCAAGGAGGCAGGGCACAAGATCTACACACAAATTTCAAATGTATTTCCAAAGACTGGCAATGAAGAATCTGAAAATAAAAGTAAGAACACAATAATGTATTTCATGGTTTGATTTATATGTGATATACAGTGCAAGCAAACCATAGAGATAAAAATTAGCCAAGTAGTTTCCTAGGGCTCGGGGGATAGGAGGAAATGCGGAATGACTGCTAGAAAGGATAGGATATCTTTTGGGGATGTGGAAAATGTTATAAAAGTGATTGTGCCGATGGTTGCAAAACTCTATGAATACAGTTGTCCCTTGGTACCCATGGGTGCATTGGTTCCAGGACCCCTGCAAATACCAAAATCTCAAATGCCTATGCCCTTTATATAAAATGGCATAATATTTGCAAATAACACACATCCTCCCATATACTTCAAATTATCTCTAAATTATTTAAAATACTTAATGAAAACTCTACGTAAATAGTTGTTATACTGTGTTGTTTTTATTTGTATTATTTTTATTGTCATATAGTTATTATTTATTTTTATTTAAAAATATTTTCAATCTGGGGTTGGTTAAATTGAGGATGTAGAACCTGTGGACACAGAGATCAAACTGTTTACTAAAAACATTAAACTAAAGTGAGTAACACTTTACGTAGGTAAATTACATGTCACGTGAATTATATCACAATTAAGCTATTACAAAAAATAATTTCAAATAACATCTTTATTTCTGAATTGTCTAAAACTTCACTTAATATACAGATGAAACATTATTATTGACATCTTAGTATTGTTGACTTAGAAATACTATAAAATATCATATTTAAGGTTGTTAAATTGCTATTCTACACTGTGTATGAGCAATTTGTAGTACTAGCAATTTATATATTTTCAAACATTCATCGATGTTATTTAAAAAGCTTTCATGTGCTGAAGAAGGGATGAATATGGGAAGAAGGGATGCAAGATCCCGGAAGTATGCCAACATATAAAACCCCAAGTCAAAAGGTCAAACAGTACACTTGTCTTGCAAGTCACCCAGTTGGCCCTCTTCTAAGTGTACCTTTCTACCTTTTGTTCCTGTTCTAAAGCTTTTTAATAAACTTTTATTATTGCCCTAAAACTTACCTCGGTCTCTCCTTCTGCCTTATGTCTTCTTGGTCGAATTATTTATTCTGAGGAGGCAAGAATTGAGGTTACTGCAGACCCACATGGATTTGCCACCAGTAACATTAATAGCTATTAAATGATATTGTGTCCAAACATACTATTTGTAACCAGCTTATTCCAAGGCTTTTGCAGAGGAAAAAAACCTATGTTTAACTGTTGATGTCCCTGTAGTATACTCATAATCAAAATATCACATCTGTTTACTCAAAGTAAACAAAGACAGAACAGAATAAACCACAACAAACAATAATTTCAGAATAAGTGCCCAATTATTTGGTAAAAAATGAGAACAAAGAAATTTAAAAAGATTGGTTAGGTATATAATTGTGTTGAAGAAAAACTAAAAGTAGATAAAGCAGGTTTGTTGAAATAGGTTTGAATTAAAGGACAAGATGGGAAAGAGAGGAAGATAATTTAGTAATTTGCATGAAGAGATATTTACTAAAAGTGACTTGCCATTACACCCTTCAATTTTAGATTCTGATCCACCAAAATATGTTTATGACTCCTTAGGGCCATGATGTTGAAAGGACAAGTCCTGTCCATGTGAAAGTTATGTCCTGTATTAATTTGCTTTAGAAAAGAAAAAAGGCTGGGCACGGTGGCTCACGCCTGTAATCCCAGCACTTTGGGAGGCCGAGGCGGGTGGATCACCTGAGGTCAGGAGTTCAAGACCAGCCTGGCCAACATGGCGAAACTCCGTCTCTACTAAAAATACAAAAAAAAAAAAAAAAAAAAAAATCAGCTGGTTGTGGTGGTGCGTGCCTGTAATCCCAGCTACTCGGGAGGCTGAGGCAGGAGAATCTCTTGAACCCAGGAGGCAGAGGTTGCAGTGAGCCAAGATCGCACCATTCCACTCCAGCCTGAGCAACAAGAGCAAAACTCCATCTCAAAAACAAAACAAAACAAAAACGTATGGGGAGAAACGCTGGGTGATTAAACCTTAGACCTTATATGCATTTCCTGGACTAGCCATTTCTTAAATTAATTTTTGTTGGGGACTTCCCTGCAGGGCCACTGAACGTCACGGGGGGTCAACCCCCCAGACACTCCTACGAGGCCCACGGTCACCCAGGGTTGCCTTTTGGCTGGGAGGAGCAAGCACCCTTTCTCTTCAGAGCTGAAAAACTCAGTTTCTCATTTATCTATGAAAACAGTTTAGTTCCTCATGCAAATGCACACAGACAAGCCGAGTTAAGATAAATTTTAGGAGAAAAAGCAATAGAGAAGTCTCTTTAGAATGCATCCCTGAACTAGAATTAGGATCCTTAAACAACAACTTCCTAGGAGAAAACCAGCTCAGAATAAATCAAGGACCATTAACCAAAGGGAGGTCCAGGGCTTAGGAGGACTTACCAGTTCCACCTGAGGAGAAGCTCGAACTTGGTGGGGCTTCAATGAGCCCCTGCTGTTACCTCAGCTTCGGTTTCCAGCAACTCCTTTGGAAAGCCACATATACGTAATATATGTGGCTCAATATTAGCTCCATTGTAAACCAAAAGGTAACAGAGACAGGTCTCAATCCAGTTTAAAGATTTATTTTGCCAGGTTTAAGGACATGCCCAGAAGAAAAAAAAAAAAACATGGAATCACAAAAATGGTCTGTGTCTTTCTCCAAAGATGATTTTGGAAGGCTTTGATATTTAACCAGAAAAATTTGGCTGGAGTTTAAAAAAAAAGGAGGGTATGGTAATCCACATGTTACAAGGCAAAAGAAGCAGGTAGGGGACTAGTCAATTATGTATTCATCTCTTGCTCAGTAGATTGGCATTGAGGGGTGGAGTTGGTGGGACTTCCTGGGCTGGTTCGGGGACTTTCACAAAAGACCCCTGTGACTCAGGGTTTTGAGTTCTTAACCAATGGAGTGAAGGATTCAAAATTAACCACTCCAAGGGAGGACTGAAAAAAGAACCACTCTCAATGGACAAAAAGAAAGAAAGGAGAGGGGTTAACACAGGGATATAAGCCCTAGCCACCCAAGCCAGCAACGGCAATCCTTCCAGGTCCCCTTCCACCACGTGGAAGCTTTGCTTTCGCTTTGTTCAATAAACTGCGCTGCTGCTCACTCTCCTGGTCCGTGGACTCTTTTTGGGCTGTAACGCTCATGTGAAGGTCTGCAGCTTCATTCTTCGAAGTTAGCAAGACCACGAACCCATTGGCAGAAAAGCTCCTGACTGAGCACTTTACATAAGATAAGGTGAACATAAAGTAGCTACCTGTGAAGATATTTAACATTTTATCTGTAGCTATCTGCTTAGGGACCAAAAAAGGCGGTTTCTTGTATCACTCAGCTTTAGCTTTTCTTTTTTCCTTTTGGCATAGTGAATTGTAGTCCCAAGTTTTAATTTTCCTTTCACATTTTGTCAATACCCTAGGGGTTCTTCCCACCCACTGCATAAAGAAAGACCACAGCATTGTAGTAGAGGAGGAGTGTAATAGACATGAGGCCTGCCACACCATGTGGGCTATGGTTTGCACTCAAATCATCTAGTCCAAAGCTAGTAGGTTAAAGGGTTTTCAAAGGAAGTTTGAGGGGAGGAGTGGGGGTGGCTAGGTAACAGGTGCTTGCTGCTGATTGGCTGAAGCAGAGATGAACTGACGGGGTCAAAGCTGTCCTCTTGTGGGCTAAATTGCTTCTGGGTGGGGCCATGGGAGCTGGGGTTTGTGGTCCAGGTGGAGGCATGGGTGTCAGACATGCAAAAAAACCTGGAAAGATATCTCAAATGGCCAATCTACAATAGTAGTGTTACTTGCAGGAGTAACTGGGGAAGTTGTATATCCTATAACCTCTGGAATAATGGGTAACAATCTATGTCTGCACATTAGCGAGACTCAGGCTCCTCTCCTCCCCTGAGCCTGATGGTTTCCCATTAGCTTTACAAAAGTAGTTGAGTTTGGGGCAAGGCCTATTATCATTTAAACTGTAGCCTAAACGCCTTCCAAAGTTAGCTTGGCCCAGTAGCTGAGGAATAATTAAAGGAAAGGCAAGATAGAGGTTGAGTCAGCTTAGTTTACTGTTATATTTTGCTCACAGATATAACTCTTGTAAAGGCAGTTTCAATCCCCTTCTTTAGCATCAATACACCTTATTCTTAAGGTGTTAGCTATACAGATAGAAAATGGGTGACAAAACACTCTGCCTTCTTATGCTGTCATGGGGGGCATAGTTAGAAGTGTCAGCCCAGGGAAATAGAAGTGAAACCACTGCTTTGCAGCTATCTGCATGTACTCAGGGGTGTATTATAAAGACATTAATATTCTTACCCACAGTTCTAGTACAGCAGTCAAATGAAGAGTACACTATAGGTTATTAAAAAAGACAGATTGAGCAAATTCAAATACATTGCCTTGTATCTTTTTAGTCAGAGTCTTAGTCCTGGGACTAGATTAGTTTAACCAAACAGCTGTTTCCCATTATCAGGAGGTGGCATTGCAGATGGGCTAGGCCTCTGTATGTCATGAAGGCAAACAGATTTTTTAATAAGACGCATATCTACAGAGACGAAGAAAAAGTTAATGTTGGGCACAGTTTATCCAGATGTTAGACTCAAAGCATCTTTTTAGAGGATGTTTGTGGTGGCAATCTGACATGTTTTTCTCTCGCCTATATTGCAAAGAGTAAGTTTCAGCTTACCAGGCCTCAGAAAAGAGGTAGTAACACCTTCATTGTGTCCAAGTCAGAATAAGAAAGGAAAAAATTTAAAGCATCAGTTTGGGGACCTGTAGCCCAGAAAGAATTCAGAATCCACTCCACATTGCAGAAAATAACAAAAACTTATAAACAGTGGAGAAGACTAGAATCTAACAACAGGTGTACTATAGTTTTTTTTTTTTCCTGAAACATAGTTTTTCTCTCTCCAGTCCCCATTTTACTAAGGAAAAATCATAGTAGGACACATTTACTTGTAATAAAAGCCTTAGTCTTAGTATACTTGGCCTGAGTTTCACTTGCGTCCATGTGAAGAGATCACCAAACAGGCTTTGTGTGAGCAACAAGGCTGTTTATTTCACCTGGGTGCAGGCAGGCTGAGTCCAAAAAGAGAGTCAGAGAAGGGAGATAGGGGTGGGGCCGTTTTGTAAGATTTAGGTAGGTAAAGGAAAACAGTCAAGGGGGGTTGTTCTCTGGTGGGCAGGAGTGGGGGTCACAAGTTGCTCAGTGGGGGAGCTTTTTGAGCCAGGATGAGCCAGCAGAAGGAATTTCACAAGATAATGCCATCAGTTAAGGCAGGAACTGGCCATTTTCACTTCTTTTGTGGTGGAATGTCATCAGTTAATGGAGGAACAGGCCTTTTTCATTTCTTTTGTGATTCTTCGTTACTTCAGGCCATCTAGGCATATACATGCAGGTCACAGGGGATGTGATGGCTTAGCTTGGGCTCAGAGGCCTGACACTGAGTATTTGCATAAAGTCAGCAAGCGTAGTTATTTGGCATGGAATCTCCTTTTTAAAATTGGCTTTGCTGAAATTTTATTACATAAGAAATCTCAGAGTACACATTTTTAAAGCCTTGAAGTCCAGCCAATACCTACCTGGTTGCAATACCTGTATTAATTGGGTAAATTCCTCACTTCAAGGTCCCAAGATAATTTGGGTCATCCTGGGCCTGTCAGAAAGCGACACTCTTTACTTACCACAGGTCAGAAACCCTGTACAGGGACTGTGTAGACAAGGTATGAAGTCAGTTTTCCCGAGGGGCTTTTAATGGCTCTATAAGTCAACTTTGATTCTTTAAAGCAATCTGAAAGTATGCTATTCTGTTATCAGCAGTGAATCTATATGGGTTTGCAGCAACCTCAATTTTTGCCTCCTCAGAAGAAGGAATTCAACTGAGGGGCATAAGGCAGAAGAAGAGACTGAGGCAAGTTTTAAAGCAGAAGTGAAAGTTTATTATAAAGATTTAGAGCAGGAATGAAAAGAAAGTAAAGTACATTTGGAAGAGGACCAAGTGGGCATCTTGAAGGTAGGCACCCTACTTGAAATTAGGCTTAGGGTTTTATATGCTGGCCTACTTCCAGCATCTTACAACCCTTTTCTGGGGGGATGCCCCCGGAAGGCCATACACCAGTTAAACTAAACTGCAGTCTGGCTCTCAGGAACTCCTACTCTTAGCGGAAGGGGATGAGCACCACATCGAGTATTGGGGGAACCACCCCCAATATTTCAATTTAAGTTCTTTTCTATTTCCCTGTCAGCCGGTCTGAGAAATAATGGGAAAGAGTACAAAAGAGAGAAATTTTAAAGCTGGGTGTCCGGGGGAGACATCACATGTTGGCAGGTTCTGTGATGCCCCCTGAGCCGCAAAACCAGCAAGTTTTTATTAGTGATTTTTAAAGGGGAGGGAGTGTACGAATAGAATGTGGGTCACAGAGATCACATGCTTCCCAAGGCAATAAAATATCACAAGGCAAATGAGGGCAGAGCGAGAACACAAGACCAGAGCAAAATTAAAATTGCTAATGAAGTTTCATGTCCCACTGGGCACACATTGTCATTGATAACATCTTATCAGGAGACAGGATTTGAGAGCAGACAACCAATCTGACTAAAATTTACTAGGCAGGAATTTCCTCATCCTAATAGGCCTGGGAGCCCTACAGGAGACCAGGGCTTATTTGATCCCTTATCTGCAACCGTATAAGACAGACACTCCCAGAGAGGCCATTGTAGAGACCTACCCCTGGGAATGCATTCTCTTTCTCAGGGCTGTTCCTTGCTGAGAAAAAGAATTCATTGATATTTCTCCTATTCGCTTTTGTAAGAAGAGAAATATGGCTCTGTTCCACCTGGCTCTCAGGCAGTCAGACCTAATGGTTATCTCCCTTGCTCCCTGAACATCGCTGTTATCCTGGTCTTTTTTCAAGGTGCCCAGATTTCATACTGTTTAAACACACATGCTTTACGAACAATTTGTGCAGTTAACGCAATCATCACAGGGTCCTGAGGCGACATACATCCTCAGCTTACGAAGATGATGGGATTAAGAGATTAAAGTAAAGACAGGCATAGGAAATCACAGGAGTATTGATTGAGGAAGTGATAAATGTCCATAAAAACTTCACAATTTATGTTCAGAGACTCCAGTAAATACAGGGGTAAGAAATTATAAATGTATTAATTTGGAGAACTAATAAACGTCCATGAAATCTTCACAATTTATGTTCTTCTGCCATGGCTTCAGCCAATACCTCCGTTCGGGGTCCCTGACTTCCTGCAACAGTCAAGGAAATATCCCATGGGACAAAGAAATCTGAATGGCAGGCCTTGAGTCCCAGTTCTGTCCTCTGGTGGGAAGTTTCTTTCAGCAGGGAGAGACAATTGCAGTGCTGGGCTGAGCAGGGAAAGTCTGCAGCTCTATCCCAACAATCAGGCAGCCTTGGTGCTCATGAAGGGCATTGAAGAGGGGGACACCTTTATCTCCTTGTCCACCACTGCAGACATAGCTGGAGCTTTACCACAGGAGCTCAGCATGGGTGCACCTATTGACAGCCTTTCTGGAACACTTCTCTTTGGCTGCTTCCCCACAAGAAGGGCACCCCACAAATTCAGGCTTGCATGAGGGGCAGAGTCACAATTCTTCTTCACTTGGAACATTGATATTCCTTCAGATGAAAACAGGTGCCTGTCTGAATACTCGGAAATAAATAAATCTGGGAGGTGGATAGCTTTCATGCTAAACTGGCAGATGAGCTGAGGTGGCTCCCACCCTTTCCCCTGATAATACCTTACTGCATCTAATTGAGAACTCCCTCAGCCACTTTCATCAAGGTTTGGACCTCTGGCTACCATTGTGTATTGCATTTACCCACCTGCTTTAGCTACAGCCAGTTCCTACTCAGGAACACATCCCTTACTGTTCTGAAGCCTGAAAAATCAACTCAATAAATAAAATACTGGGGAAAAATTAAATATATAAAGAAGTACATACCACAGGGAAATGAGATAATCTTCAAGAGACCTCTACCATTTCAGCCTCATAGGAGACAGTGAACTTTATCGCACACCTAGTACATTGTTACAACATCTAGCATCTGAGGAAACCATTATACAAAGACTCTCTATAACCAAGAAATGCATACAGAGTCTTTACCCCTAAAAGCACCAATATCTAAATTAGGCTATAACAAACTATAAACATTAAAGTAACAGTCTTTTTTTTCTTTTTCTTTTTCTTTTTCTTTTCTTTTTTTTTTGAGACAGAGTCTTGCTCTGTCACCCAGGCTGGAGTGCAATGGCACGATCTCTGCTCACTGCAACCTCCACCTCCTGGGCTCAAGCTATTCTCTTGCCTCAGCCTCCCAAGTAGCTGGGATTACAGGCACGTGCCACCATGCCCAGCTAATTTTTGTATTTTTAGTAGAGATGGGGTTTCACCATGTTGGACAGGCTGGTCTCGAACTCCTGACCTCAGGTGATCCTCCCACCTTGGCCTCCCAAAGTGCTGGGATTACATGCATGAGCTACTGTGCCCGGCCCTAAAGTAATATTCTTAAGGGAGAAAAAATAAAATTAAAAAAAAAAAGTCAAATCAAAAATAAGTTCAAGAACAATGAGAAGAAATAGTCTACCCAAATGAGAAGAAACCATAAAAGTAATTCTGGTAATATGACAAAACAGGGTTGTATAACATCCTGAAAAGATTATACTAGGTCCCCAGCACTGGATCTAAATCAAAATAAAATTTTGGAAATACAAGATAAATAATTCAGAAAGTTGATTATTATGTTACTCATAGAGATATCAGAAAAAGATAAAAATCAACATAAATAAATTAAAAAATAATTCAGGATTTGAATGAAAAAATGTTCTAGAGAGAAAAATATCATCAAGAAAAATATCAGAACTTCTGGAAATGAAATACACACATAAGGAATTATAAAATGCAATGGAAAGTTTTGATCATAGGCTAGAGCAAGTAAAAGAAAGAATTTCAGAGCTTGAAGATACAGATTTTGAATTAACCCAATCATACAAAGATAAAGAAGTAAAAATCCAAAGAAATAAAGTCTTATTAAATGAGATTATGTAAAATGATCAAACCTAAGAATAACTGGTATTCCTACATGAGAAGAGAAGGCTAAAAGCATGGAAGACTTCTTTGAGTAAATAATTGAGGAAAACTTCCCTGGCTTTGCTAGAGATTTAGATATTCAAATACAAAAAGCTCAAAAAACTCCTGGGAAATTCATTGCAAAAAGATTTTCACCAAGGCACATAGTCATCACACTATCTAAATTCATGATGGAAAAAAACCTAAGGGCTATGAGACAGAAGCATCAGATAACTTATAAAGGAAAAGCTACCAGACTAGCAGCAGTTTTCTCAGCAGAAACTTTACAAGCTGGATGGGATTGGGATCCTATCTTTAGCCTCCTTAAAAAGAATAACTGTCAGCCAAGAATTCTATATCCAGTAAAACTAAGTCTCATACATGAAGGAGAAATAAAGTCATTTTCAGAGAAACAAATGCTGAAGGAATATGCCAGTACCAAACCAGCACTACAAGAAATGTTAAAAGTAACTCTACATCTCAAAACCAAAGCTCGATATGCACCAAAATGAAACCTCTTGAAAGGATAAACTCACAGGGCCTATAAATCAATAACACAATTTAAAAAACAGGGTATCTGTGTAACAATATGATGAAGAGAATAGTACCTCACTTCTCAATATTAGTGTTGAATGTAAATGGCCTAAATGCTCCACTAAACAAATACAGAAAGGCAGAATGGATAAAATATCACGAACCAAATATCAGCTGTCTGTAAGAGACTCACTTAACACCTAAGGATTCATATAAACTCAAAGTAAAGAGGGAGAAAGATATTGCACACAAATGGACACAAAAAATGAGCAGGAGTAGCTATTCTTATATCAAAAAAAGCAGACATTAAAGTAACAACAGTAAAAAAAAAAAAAAGATCATTATATAATGATAAAAGAATCAACCCAAGAAAAAATAGACTAATCCTAAATTTATATGCACCTAATACTGGAGCTCCATGATTTAGAAAACAATTAGTACCAGACCTAAGAAATAAGATAGAAAGTAACACATTAATAGTGGGAGACTTAAATATTCCACTGACAGCCAGAGATAGATAATTGAGACAGAAAGTCAACAAGAAACAATGTACTTAAACTACAATTTAGACCAAATGGATTTAACAGCGGTTTACAATCTACCAAACAAATGCAGAATATACATTTATCTCATCAGCACATGAAACATTCTCGAAGATAGATCATATAATAGACTACAAAATAATTCTCAATATATTTAAGAAAATCAAAATTATATCAAGCATCTTCTCAACCACAGTGGAATAAAATAATAAATCAACTCCAAAAGGAGCCCTTAAAACCATATAAATACATGGAAATTAAATAGTCTGTTCCTGAATAATTATTAGTTAACAATGAAATCAAAATGAAAATTTAAAACTGTTTCAAATGAATGACAATAGTGACATAAGTGATAAAAACATCTGGGATACAGCTAAAGCAGTGCTAAGAGGAAAGTTTATAGCATTAAATGCCTACATCATAAAGTCTGAAAGAGAACAAATTGACACCCTAATATTACACTTCAAGCACTAGAGGAACAGGAACAAACTAAACCCAAAGCCAGCAGAAGAAAAGAAATAAAGAATAACTACATAAAACTGAAAAAAAAATTGAAAAGATAAAGGAAACAAAACACCTATTCTTTGAAAGATAAACAAAATTGATAGACCATTATGAGATTAGCCAAGAAAAGAGGAAAGAAGATCCAGATAAACTCAACTAGATATAAAACTGGAGACACTACAACCAATACTACAGACATATAAAATATAATTAAACACTACTATGAACACCTTTATGTGCACAAACTAGAACAACTACAGGAAATGGATAAATTCCCTGGAAATATACAACTCCCCTAGATTAAATCAAGAAGAAATAGAAAACATGAACAGACTGATAACAAGCAGCGAGAGAGAATCAGTAATAAAACAATTGCAAACAAAAAAGAAAAGCCCAGCAATAGATACATTCACAGCTTGATTCTCTAGACATTCAAAGAAAAATTTGTACCAGTCTTACTGAAAATACTCCAAATGATTGAGAAAAAGAAAATCCTCCCTAAATCATTGTATGAAGTCAATGTTACCCTAATTACAAAACCAGGAAAGGACACAACAAAGAAAGAAAACTACAGATCAATATCCCTTATGAATATAGATGCCGAATCTTCAACAAAATACTAGCTAACATTCCAATAGCACATAAAAAAATATATCATGATTGGGGATGATTTACTACATGCAAGTAAATAATGTGTTATATAGCATAAACAGAATTAAAAACAAAAACCATACGATTATCTCAACAGATGCAAAAAAGCACTCAATAAAATTCAGCCTCTTTTCATGATAAAAACCCTCAAAAAACTAGGGATATAAGGGACTTACTTCAAAATAATACAAGCTATATATGACACACCTACAGCCAACATCATGCTGAATGGGGAAAAGTTGAAAGCATTTCCCCTGAGAAATGGAAGAAGACAAGGATGCCCACTTTCACCACTTATATTCAACATAGCACTGGAAATCCCCACCAGAACAATCAGCCGAGATCAAGAAATGAAGAGCATCCAAATTGGAAAAGAGGAAGTTAAACTATCACTGTTCACTGATGATATGATCATACACCTTGAAAACGCTAAAGATTCCTCCAAAAGACTCTTAGATGTGATCAATGAATTCAGTAAAGTCTCAGGTTACAAAATCAATGTACACAAATTAGTAGCACTGCTACACACCAAGAATGACCAAGCTGAGAATTAAATAAAGAATTCAATCCCTTTTACAGCAGGTGCAAAAAATTAAATACCTAGAAATATACTTAACAATGTGATGAGGGATTTCTACAAAGAAAACTACAAAACACTGCTAAGGAAAATTACCAATGACACAAACAAATGAAAACACATCTCATGCTCATGGATGGGAAGAATCAAATATTGTGAAAATAACCATATGTTTCAAAGCAATCTACAGCTTCAGTGCAATTCCCATTAAAATACCATCATAATTTTTCTCAGAACTAGAATAGACAATCCTAAAATTCACATGGAATCAGGAAAGAACCAGAATGGCCAAAGCAATAGTAATCAATAAGAACAAATCTGAAGGTATCACATTACCAGACTTCAAATTACACTGCAAGGCTATAGTTACAAAAAAAGCATGGTAATTCTACAAAAATAGGCACTTAGACCAATGGAACAGAACAGAGAACCCAGAAATAAAGTCAAATATGTACAGCCAATTGATCTTTGACAAATCATATGATAGCATATATTGGGAATAGAACACCCTATTCAATAAATGCTGGTGGAAAAATTGGCAAGCTGCATGTAGAAGTATGAGGCTGGATCCCCATCTCTCACCTTATACAAAAATCACTAAAGATGGATCACAAACTTATATCTAAGACCTTAGGCCATAAAAATTCTAGAAAATAACATTGGAAAATCTCTTCTGGACATTGGCTTAGGCAAAGAATTTATGACTAAGACCCAAAAAGCAAATGGAACAAAAACAAAAATGAATAAAAGAGACCTAATTAAACTAAAACGTGTCTGCACAGCAAAAGAAATAATCAGCAGAGTAGACAGACAACCAACAGAATGAGAGAAAATATTTGCAAACCATGATTCTGATGAAAGACTAGTATCCAGAATCTACACGGAACTCAAACAAATTGGCAAGAAAAAAAATAAAACAAATAATCCTATAAAGTGGGCAAATGACATGAATAAACATTTCTCAAAAGAAGATATACAAATGGCCAACAGACATATAACAAAATTCTCAACATTACTAATTATCAGGGAGATGCAAATTAAAATCACAGTGTGATACCACCTTACTTCAGCAAGAATGGCCATTATTAAAAAGTCAAGAAACAATAGATGTTGACATGGATGAGGTGAAAAGGGAGCACTTATACACTACTGGTGGAAATGTGAATTAGTACAACCTCTACGAAAAACAGTATGGAGATTCCTTAAAGAGTTAAAAGTAGATCTACTATTTGATCCAGCAATCCCACTGCTGGGTATCTACCCAAAGGAAAAACAGTCATTATATGAAAGAGTCCCATGAACACATATGTTTGCAGTTCACAACTTCTAAGATGTGAAACCAACCTAAGTGCCTATTGACCAATGAGTGGATAAAAAAAAATGTGGTATATATACACTATGAAATACTACACAGTCATAAAAATAAATGAAATAATGTCTTTTTCAGCAACTTGAATGGACCTGGAGGTCCTTATTCTAAGTGAAGTTATTCAGGAATAGAAAATCAAATACCGTATGTTTTCACCTATAAGTGGGAGCTAATGTGTGGGAACAGAAAGCCATATAGAGTAATATAATGGGCTTTGGGGACTCTGGCAGGGGACAGGAGTGAGAAATAAAAGACTACTTATTAAGTACAGTGTACACTGCTCACATGATCGGCATACTAAAGTCTCAGAATTCACCACTACAGAATTCATTCATGTAACCAAAAACCACTGGTACCTTAAATATATTGAAATAAAAAGAAGAAAATGGTTTATGTATATAAATAGGTTGCAGTTACTTTCTTCTGAAGTTCATGTTGTCTAGCTTCATTTTGCAGGGCTGTAAGAAAAAATGTCTTAAGTTTTAGTGATTTCAAATTAGGAAAAAAATGGGGGAAAGGGAAAATAAAGGAGGAGAAATATTGAAAACATTATTTTGGAGACTTGTAGCCAGGAAAAATTTTAGGATTTAGTCTAAATTGTGGAAAATAATAACCTGAGAAGCATTAGACAAGGCAAGAATCTAATAACAGGTGTACTATAGTTTATTTTGAAACAGTTTTTCTTTCTTCAATTTCACTATTTTATTAAGGACAAAATCATAGTAGTACCAATTTATTTGTAAAATAATTTTAGTCTTATTTTACTTCACTTGATGATTTGTGTAAAGTGCAGCAAGGTTAATTATTTAATTATTTGCCATATAAGCTTTCTCTCTCTCTCTCTCTCTCTCTCTCTCTCTCTCTCTCCTTCAATTGGCTTTGCTGGAACCTTTTCCATAAGGCATCTAAGTTTAGACCTTTTTAAAAGCTTCAAGCCCAGCCAAAGATTTATCTGTGCCTGAAGACATCGGTATACACTGGGTGAATTTCTCTCTTTGTGAGGCCCCTAGGATATTTGGGGTTCCAGGGCCTGTCACAAAGTGAAACTATTTACAAACCAAAGGTCAGGACCATGTCCCTAGGGCAAATTTGCATCCTCCCTATAGCACAACAGCTGTTGTGATCTTGAAAATGTCACCTCCTGGTTGGAGGAAAACCAAAACAAAACCAGTGCACTAAACAAAAACACAACCAAGGACCCTCACAGAGTCCACTTCATACCCCTGCTTCCTCCACCGGAGCAGGTGCTGGTATCCATGGCTGCAAGACCTGAAGATGGATCACATCACAGGACTCTGCAGACACTCCCCAGTACCAGCCCGAAACCCAGTAGCTCCACTGGGTGGCTAGACCCAGAAGATCGAAAATTATCACTACAGTTCGGCACTCAGGAAGCCCCATTCCTAAAAGAAAAGAGAGAACAGCACATCAAGGGAGCAGGCTCAGGGTCTACTCAGCAGACGTGATATCTGAGCCTGCCCCAGTGCTAGTCTGAGCCTGTTGGCCCGAGGCCCCAGACCAGCCTCAATGCCCGACTAATGCCCACAGCGCTGTCATCAGGCCAACAGCTGCAGACCCAGACTTTAGGTTGGCCCTTGCATATAGAGAGCTCAGATTAATCAAGCACCGAGACAGAACCTGAAGCCCCAGGCTGCAGGCCTGTTTTAGTGTTAGGTTGGCACAACTGGCCTCAAATACTAGATGGGCACCTGTGGATACAGGCATCGAGGAATTCTTCAAGCTCAAAGAAAAGGAAGCTAATTAGTAACACAAAAACATATGAGAGTATAAATCTCTGGTAAAAGTAAGCAAACAGTCTAATTCAGAATATCCTAATAATGTAATGGTAGTGTTATCATATATAACAGTAGCATGAAGGTTAAAAGATTCAAACCTATTAAATAATAATAGCTATCACAATGAGTTAAGGAATACAAAATATAAAAAGACATAAGTTGTGACATCAAAAATTTAAAATATGTGTGGATGGTGGAGTAAAAGTGTAGAGTATTTTTATGTGTGGATGGTGGAGTAAAAGTGTAGAGTATTTTTATGCAACTAAAGGTAAGCTGTTATTAGCTTGAAACAGACTGCTATAAATATAATATTTTTTATATAAACCTCATGGTAATCACAAAATGAAACATGTAGTAAATTAACAAGAGGTAAAAATTAAGTTATCAAATCATAGTACTAGAAATAATCAATCACAAAGGAAGACAGCAAGAGAGAAAAAAAGGAACAAATGATTTACAAAATAACTAGAAAAAAATTAATGAAATGGAAGGAGTAGGTCCTTACCCATAAATAATTACCCTGAATGTAAATGAATTAAATTCTCTAATCAAAAGATATAGAGAAGCTGAGTGAGTAAAAAAAAAGCAAGACTCAACCATGTACTGCATACAAGAAACTCACTTCACCTGTAATTACACATGTAGGGACATGGATGAAGCCAGAAACCATCATTCTCAGCAAACTATCGCAAAGACAAAAAACCAAACACCACATGTTCTCACTCATAGGTGGGAATTGAACAATGAGAACACATGGACACAGGAAGGGGAACATCACACACCCGGGCCTGTTGTGGGGTGGGGGGAGGGGGGAGGGATAGCATTAGGAGATATACCTAATGTTAAATGACGAGTTACTGGGTGCAGCACACCAACATGGAACACGCATACATATGTAACTAACCTGCACATTGTGCACATGTACCCTAAAACTTAAAGTATAAAAAAAAAGTGAAGAGAAGAAAAAAGATAGTTCCATGCAAATGAAAGAAAGAGAACAGTGATAGCTATGCTTATATAAGATAAAATAAACTTTAAGTCAAAAACTGTAAAATCATACAAAAGGGTTATTATATAATTATGAGGAGACCAATTCATCAAATAATATAACAATTATAAATATATATGCTCTCAAAATTTGAGCACATAAATACATAAAACAAATTTAAAAAGAAATGAAGCAAGAGATAAACTGTAAATCAATAATAGTACGGTATTTCCATACCCCACTTTCAGCAATGGACAGATTGTCCATACAGATCAATATGAAAACATCAGACTTAAATGACACTTTAGATAAAATGAACTTACCAGACATATACAAAACACTCCATTCTACAGAAGCAGAATACACACTCTTCTCAACCACACATAGAACATTCTCTAAGATAGATTATATGTTAGCTCACAAAACAAGTTTTAACAAATTTAAAATTTTGAAATAATATCAAGTATCTTTTCCAACCAAAATATTATGAAATTAGGAAATATTAACAAAATAAATTTTGGAAAAATTTATAAGTACATGGAAAATAAACAACATGCTCTCTAACAACCAATCAATAAAATGAGAAATTAAAAAGAAGAAATTTAAAAATATCTTGAGACAAATATAAATAAAAACCCAACTGCATTAATCTGCTTTGTGTTGCTACAAAGATATACTTGAGGCTGGGTAATTTATAAAGAAAAGAGGTTTGTTTGGCTCATGGTTCTACAGACTGTATAAGCATGGCACCAACATCTGCTTGGCTTCTAGTGAGGTCTCAGGAAGCTTTTTCTTATGGCAGATGGAAAAGGGGAACAAGGCATGCCACACGGTGAGACAGCAGGCAAGAGAGATGCTATGTTCTTTTAAACAACCAGCTCTCACATGAACAAACTCATTGCTACAGACAGCACAAAGCCATTTATGAGAGACCTGCCCTCTTGGCACGAACACCTCCCACTAGGTCCCACATTCAACAGTGGGGATCACATTTCAACATGAACTTTGGAGGGGACAAACTTCCAAACTACATAAACAGTGTGCTAAAATGTATAATAAGGAGCAAGAGCAGTTCTAAAAGAAAAGATTATAGCAATTATTGTCTATGTAAATATAAGAAAAATCTTAAATAAACAAGTAATGATACACCTCAAGTTACTAGAAAAACAAAAGCAGACAAGTACAAACTTAGTATAAGGAAGGAAATAATAAAGATCAGGAAAAAAATAAATAGAGACCAGAAAACCTATATAAAAGATCAACAAAACTAAGGATTATATCTTAAAAGATAAACAAACTCAAAATAAACAATGTAATGATACACCTCAAGTTACTAGAAAAACAAAAGCAGACTAAGTCCAAAGTTAGTATAAGGAAGGAAATAATAAAGATCACGAAAAAAATAAATAGAGACCAGAAAGCCTATATAAAAGATCAACAAAACTAAGGATTATATCTTAAAAGATAAACAAAATCAACAAATCTTTAGCCAGATGAACAAAAAAGAGAGGACTCAAATACATAAATCAAAAATGAAAGAGAAGAATTTGCAACTGATACAACAGAAATACAAAGAATTATAAGAGACTGCTATCAACAATTACATGCCAACAAGTTGGATAGCCTAGAAAAAAAAATACATTTTTATAAACATACAACCTGCCAAGACTGAATTATGACAAAGTAGAAAATTAAACAGACCAATGTGTAAGAAGAGTGAAAAACTTATAATAAGTTTCCTATCAAAGAAAATCCCAGGATCTGATGGCTTGACTGCTAAATTTTGCCAAACATTTCAATAAGAGCTATTAATAATACCAATTATTCTCAAACTCTTCCAAAAAAAGTAAAGAAAAGGCAATATATTCAAACTCAGTTTATGAGGCCAGCATTATCCTGATACCAAAACTAGACAAAGACACTATAAGAAAAGAAAATTACAAGTCAATATCTCTGACGAACATAGATGAAAAGCTCTTTAACAAAATATTAGCTAACCAAATACAACAGCACATTAGAAAGATTATGATCAAGTGGGATTTACCCCTAAGATACAAGAATGATTCAACATATGCAAATCAATAAATGTGCTACATAACATTAACAGAATAAAGGACAAACATCAAAGATATTTCTGTAGATGCAAACAAGGCATTTGACAAAATTCAACATGCTTTTATCATAAAACACTCAACAAATTAGATATAGAAGAAATATACCTCAACACATAAAAGGTCATATGTCACAAACCCAAAGATAACATCATGTTTATTGGTGAAAAGTTGAAAGTTTTTCCTCTTATCAGGAACAAAACAAAAATGACCAATCTCATCACTTCTATTCAACAAAGTACTGGGAATCCTATTCAAAGCAATTCAACAAAAGAAAAATATGAAAACATCCAAATTGGAAAGGAAAAAGATACATTGTCTGTGTTTGCAGACAACATAATCTTATATATGGAAAACCCTAAAGACTCCTCCCCAAAGCTGTTAAAACTAATAAACAAATTCAATAATGTTGTAGGATACAAAACCATCATACAATTGTCAGTAGTATATTTATACAATAACAATAATATATCTGAAAAAAATTACCCTATTTACATTAGTTACAATATAAAAATAAAATACATCAAATTAAAATTTAATCAAGGAGAAGAAAGGCCTGTTACTGAAAACTATGAAATATTGATGAGAGAAATTCAAGAAAAAAAAACAAATAATTGAAATGATATGGTTATGTATCAGAAGAATTAATTTTGTTAAAATAACTATACTACCCAAAGTAATTTACAGATTCAATGCAATCTGTATCAAAATAGCAATGACATTTTTCACAGAAAAAAATACAACAATCCTGCAGTTTATATGGAACGACAAGAGACTCTCAATATCCAAAGCAATTTAAACAAAAAATCTAATCCAGAGGCACCATATTATCTTACTTCAAAATACACTTTAAAGTCCCAGTAATCAAAACAGTATGGTACTGGGAGAAAAGGAGCCCAGAAATATATTTATGCAATTGATCTTTGACAAAGGTGCCAAGAATACACAAAAGAGAGTCTCTTCAATAAATAGTGTTGGAATAACTGAATATTCACATACAGAAGAATGAAATTAGACTCTCATCTGACATCATATATTAAAGGCAGCTCAAAAATGTATTAAACACTTAAATATAGGACAAGGAACTATAAAACTACTAGAAGAAAGCATAGGGAAAAAGTTCTGTGACATTGGTCTGGGCAATGATTTTTTGTAGGTGTTCCCAAAAGGTCATGCAACAAAACTGAAAATAGACAAATGGAATTATATCCAACTACAAAGCTTCTACACAGCAGCAACAACAAACAAACAACAAACCAACAAATGAAAAAACAACAGAGTGAAGGGACAACCTACATAATGGGAGAAAATATTTGCAAACCATATATCTGATAAAAAGGTTAATATCCAAAATAGAAAATTTAAACAACTCGTTAGAAAAAAAACACTATTAAAAATGAGCGAATGATCTTAATATACATTTCTGAAAAGAAGACATACAAATGGCCAATAAGTATATGAAAAAAAATGCTCAACACCACTATCAGAGAAATGCAAATTTAAGCCACAAGGAACTAACACCCTATACATGTTATAATAGCTTTAATCAAAAGGATGAAATATAACAAATGCTGGTGAGGATGTGGAGGAATGGGAACCCACATTGTTGGTAGGAATGTAAAATGGTGAAGCTGATATGGAAAACAGTATGCTAGTTGTTAAAAAAATTAAAAATGAAGGTACCATATGATTCAGCATTCCCACTACAATGTATATGTCTTACTCCATTTTGTGTTGCTATAACAGAGTATCTGAGACTGGGTGATTTATAATAAAAAGAAATTGATTTGTCTCATAGTTTTGGAAGCTGAGAGTATCAAGATCTAGAGGCCACATTAGGTGAGCAGCTTCTTGCTGTGTCATAACATGGTGGAAAGCATTACATGGTTAGAGTGTGCACATAAAAGAGAGAAGGAGATTAAATTCATCCTTTTATCAAAAACCTACTCTCAAGATAATTAACCCACTTTTACAATAACAATATTAATCCATTCCTGAGGGAGAACCCTCATCACTTAGTCACCTCTTAAAGTTCCCACCTCTCAACACTTTTCCTTTGGGGATGAAATTGCCAACACATGGACTCTGCGGGACACATTCAACACTTATCAGTATATATCTAAAGAAATAAAATAAGCATATGAAAAGATCGCTGAACTCTCATGTTAGTTTCAGCATTCCTCACAATGGCTAAGATATAGAATCAACCTAAGTGTCCAATAACAGATATATAAAGGAAGTGTGGCATATATACACAGTAGAATACATTCAACCTTAAAAGATAAGGAAATCCTGTCATTTATTAGGACATGAATGAACCTAGAGAAATTTATGCCAAGTGAAATAAATCAGGAAAAGGAAAACAAATACTGTATGATCTCATTTATATATGGAATCAAAAAAAGTTGGACTCATGGAAGGGGGGAGTGGAATGGTGGTTACCATAGTCTGTGGGTGGGGGCAGATGCTGGGAAAATGGTCAAATAAAACAAAGTTTCAGTTAGATAGGAGGAATAAGTGCAAGATATTTATTGACAACTTGGTTACTATAGTTAGTAGCAATGTATTGCATCCTCAAAACTTGCTAAGTGAGTAGATTTTAAGAGTTCTCATCACCAAAAAATAAATATGTGAGGTAATGCATAGGTTAATTTAATCTAGTCATTCAAAAATGTATATGCATTGCAAAACATTATGTTGTACATCATAAATATGTACAACTTTATTTGCCAATTAAAAATAAATAAAAATAATTTACAGAACAGAGATTTTAAAAAGTAGAGAGACAAAGATGGAATTTTAAAGCTGCCTGATTTTGAAACTTCCTGATTTTGAAACTTCCTAAAAAGTTACAGCAATAAAAACAGTGTAGTAGTTGTAGTAGTTGCATAAAAATAGACGTATAACAATAGATTATAATTGACAGTCCAAAAATAAACCCATACAACTATGGTCAATTTATTTTCAACAGCCCCCAAGGCAAATTAATGGGGAAAAATATTTGTTTCAACCAATACTACTGAGACAACTGAATCACATTCAAAAGGAATTATTAGGAATCCTAACCCACACTAGATATAAAAATAATTCAAAAATCATCAAATATCTAGATGCATGACCTAAAATTATAGAACCCTTAGAATAAAACATAGGTGTAAATCTGTATAACTTTAGACTATACAATGGTTTCTTAGATATGGTACCTGAGGCACAAATGCACCCCCCTAAAATAGATAAGTTGGAATGCATCAAAATTGAAAAGCTTATTTTTGCTTTGAAAGAGTCTACCAAGAAAGTTAAAAAGAAACACACATAATGGATAAAATTATTTGCAAAATATATATTTGGTCAGTGTCATAAGCACCTAGTGTTCAGAATATATAAGAAACTTAAGACTCAATAATAAAAACACAAGCCAATTAAAAATGGGTAAAGTATCTGAATAGACATTTCTTTAAGGAAGATATACAAAAGACCAATAATCACTTGAAAAGGTGTTAAAAACTATTAGTCAACTAGAGAAATGCAAGTCAAATCCATAATGAGATAATGCCACCTACTCACTAAGATGGCTACAATAACAAGTTTAATAAATGGATAATAAAAAGTGTTGCTAAGAATGTGGAAAATTTGAAATCCTCACACATTGTTGGTGAGAAAGTAAAATGGTGTAAACATTTCAAAAATAATTTGGATGTTCCTCAAAAAGTTAAACATAGAACTGCCACTTGACTCACCAATTCCAGTTCGAAATATACATTCAAACCAATTAAAAATGTATATCTATACTAAATCTTGTACATGAGTGATCATAATGGCATTATTAATAATAGCCCAAAGTGAAAACAACCTCAAAGCTTATCCATTAGTGAATAGAAAACAAATGTTTTGCATCCATAAAATGAAATAGAGTCCAGTCATAAAAAGTAATAAAAAGTCCTAATTCATGCCATGACATGAATTAATATTAAAAAAAATTCTAACTACATGAAGCCAGGCATAAACAGATACATATTTTATGATTCCATTTTATTAGATGTCTTGAATAGGCAAATTCATAGACACTGATAACACATTGATGTTTGCCAGAATTTGGAGGGTAAAGGGTAATGACTGCTAACATGGAATATTTTCTTTTCTTTTTCTTTTTTTTTTTTTTTGAGAAGAAGTCTCACTCTTGTCCCCCAGGCTGGGAGTGTAATGGCGCGATCTCGGCTCACTGCAACCTCTGCTTCCCGGGTTCAAGCGATTCTCCTGCCTCAGCCTCCCGAGTAGCTGGGATTACAGGCGCCCGCCACCATACCCTGCTAATTTTTTGTATTTTTAGTAGAGACAGGGTTTCACATGTTGGCCAGGATGATCTCGATCTCTTGACCTCATGATTCGCCCTCCTCGGCCTCCCAAAGTGCTGGGATTACAGGTGTGAGCCACCATGCCTGGCAGGAAGATATTTTCACTGGAGGGGCAGGGTGGTGGGGAAATGTTATGGAACTGGATAGTAGTGATGGTTGTGCAATTTGGTTTATATGGCAATACCCTCATAACTGTGCACTTTAAAATAGTAATTTTAATGGTTTTTTAAATCATATCTCTATTTTTAAAAATATATACAAGTAGATACATTTTACTTTAAGTATACAACTTATTCATGTCAATCTTTTAAAGTAGAAATGATATCTTTGCACATAATGTCCTCTAAATAAGTTCTGAATCATCTTTTTTGTATTAATCACACCCATAATGCAGTCTATGATTTATAGTTTGAATTTCTTTAAAGTGGAACCAGAATTAAAAGACAAAAATAAAACAATATTCATACAATCCTTCTAGATTTTTACAAAGCTTCCACAATGTTTTTAGTTATTTGATCTACACCTATTTTCATAATATAATTTCTATTCTAGAATGACTTTATGTAGTCATTCTACAACATTATGTTAATATTCATAGAAAATTTGTACGTTATCACACATAATTCATCAGAGACAAAGGGATGCCTTTTATCTTTATAGTGTGCTTTATATTCAAAATGCTCTTCACAAGAATGCAATATGGTTTGGATGTTTGTCCCCTCCAAATCTCAAGTTAAAATGTGGACTTTATGCTGAAATGAGTCAAGACTTTGCGAGAGTATTGGGAAGGCATGATATATTTTGTAAAGTGAGAAGAACATGAGAATTGGGAGGCCAGAGGCAGAACGACATAGCTTGGATGTTTGTGCCCTCCAAATATCATGTTAAAATGTGACCTCCAGTGTCGGAAGTGGGACCTACTGGGACGTATTAAATCACGGGGACAGATCACTGATGAATAGCTTGGTGTCATCCCCTTAGTGATAAGTGAATTCCCACTCAGGTCTTGTGAGATATAATTGTTAAAAGAGTGTGAGACCTCCCGCTTACTAAGGGGGAACTGAACAAAAAGTTAATATGCTAACATGTTAATAAAATTTCAACAGTTCCTTACATTAATCAAATTGTTTGTTGACTTAAATATTGAATTAATGAATATAAGACATAATACAAGAGATATGAATAGATGCTTTAAAGTAGAATGACATAAAATGTACTGGACATGGAAACAGAAGACTTTAGGTTGAATTCTGCTACTATCACTTAATAAATATGAGACCTTTAGAACACTGATAACCTCTCTGAACCAGTATGTTCTCCTTAGTAAAGACCAAGTATGCTTTAACTGTTTCACGTGTAGTGGCAAGGATCAAGTGAATTAATGCCTAGGAAAAGACAAATTAAGACTCTAAAAAGTGGCATATAGCACATATTTTTAGGAACATACTTAAGAGACTTAATGATACATCCATTATATTAATTTTCTACAATGAAATGGAAATATGCTCAGTGTATATTTTTGATCATGTCAGTACATTTGGATTGCGATCTCAGAAAAAGGGAGAGACAAATGTAAACACTAGAGATGCTATCGTCAGATCTACTTTAAGTAGGGTAAATTTAGGCTTAAGTTCACTGAGGAAAACTTCAGTTTTATGCCTACTGTCCCAGCATAATATTATGATTTCCTCTTTTTATTTCAGATGTATAAATTTTTAAACTATGACTTATATGATTACTCTGATATTAAATTGTCAATGCCAGTATTTACTACTAGAAGAGTCAATCTTCAAGGATTTAGAAGTAACTCTGAACAAAGTGAATAAGATTGATCACATGACAGAATAATTAAACATTTGGATTTTTTCCAAGATAGAGGTTTGAAAGCTTAGTTAGCATGCCTCATCCTCTTGGGAAGAGCAAGATAGTGTATAGAAATTCACAGTGTGAAGTTTTATCTAAGAAATAACACAGAAACTCCACAGAAAATTTGAAAGAAACTTTATACACTTTGAAAAAATAAAAAAGGATGGGCAGCAACCTGTACCGTGAATCAGGTGGAGAACTGTGAGTCTCCAGAGCATAAAAGAGAGAGACTATCTCCATGATTCGCACATCCACTGGGAAGTTGGGCAATTCAAGCCATAGGAGACTGCCTTAACCCAACCCAGTGCTAGAGCTAATTTGGTGAACAGTTGCGGGGCATATGAGAAGGAGCAACATCGGGACATGCTTTGTGTGCACTCCCACAATCCAGCTGGGACAGAAGGAAGTCATTCCTGATTTTAACATATAAGGCACCTCATGGAATTCTGCCAGCCAACTCAGGCAGTGGTCACAGGTTGGGAGAAGCTCCCAACTACGATTATAATCTAATGTCAAGCAGGAATAAATCCGAACTGAGAGGCTAGCTGGATGTGTGCTCTTGCCACAGTCACAAGAGTTAAACACTCTGGCTGCACAGGTGAGCAAACTTGCAGTATGGCCTTAAAGCCACAGTTTCTATTTCAGGTGGGAAGGCTTGTAGCCTGAGGCAGTTGTGCATTCGGCATGCAGATGGACTGGGACCAAGCTAGCTGTTGAAGCTTTCTGCCAGCAGGAGGCTGTGGATGTGAGACTGGCTATGTCAAAGCATGGGATCTGGGTGGATCTCACTGCCACCCGCTACACCTATCTACCCACGTAGACTTCTCTCTGCAGACTAGGCAATTCTGCTACTTCCTGGAACACTCCCCCAGCAGGCAGGGAACAGCCCTCCAATCCTCACTGGGGATGCTACTTGTACTCACATGTGGAGAGCCAGAGCATTACTCAGTCCCAACCAAGATTTGCCTTTCCACCTACTTTGGCAGCAGAACATGGACAGGAACCTGTGGGAAGTCTATGGTTCCACTTATTGTCTGAGACATCTGACGTCTTCTTCTGGGAAACATAGGCCAAGCATAAATCCCACAGCCACCACTGCAGCAGGATCTCTCCTGCAAGTACCACCTCTTGGTCACTGGTCAACCAGCACATTTGCAGACACAATAACACATCACTTGGGAAGAAGAAAATTTTTGCATGACCTCAGCTAACATCATTGCCAACAATACCTCAGCTACCCAAGAGGCCTTCAGCCTGTTCGTATGCCCAGTACAGTAATACTACAGCTGGAAATTGAGAAAGGTACTACCCTAAGGCAATTTACAACCAAGGAAATCTTACAGATTTCATGTCACCTCCTTGCAACTCCCATCAGAGATGGTGTTTGCACCTGCCACTGAGAGACCAGAGGACAGGTCAGCTCAGTCCAGCTCCACCCAATATTACTCCCCTCTAGAGCTAAGAGTGGAGCTGAAGCCACTGCATATACCACAGATCAGTTCCCCTGAGGCATCAGAAAGCTTCTCCAAATGGTTGACTCAAAATGTCAGTGACCTCAGAAGGATGAACCAAAATTAGAGGTGAATAGTCATATCCCAGATGGAGTGTTAAGAGTACTGAAGCCTATCACAAGGTTCATTGGAGGAATCTATGATACACATACAAACAAAAGTAATAAGAAGCTGGCAGGGATCAAACACTGAGCGAGTATCCCATGGAAAGGGTAGGTGGGAGTGCATTCAGCCTTGCTAGCCTTTGTGGCACACTGCTGATATCCAAACTCAGGGAGATCTTCTTTGCTTTCATGAATCCAAGTAATGGCATGGGCTATGAATTGGGGACTTCTCAAGAACATTACACCGGGCTACAAGATTACACACTGTCCCTTCCCTTTCCTCCTCGATCTGAGCTGCAATAGGGGGTGTCATACTGGGTGCACACCCCTTGTGGGACCTTCAACCCTTGTGTCTTCACATCGCTGGATCCCTTGCAGACATTCCCCAGAAGCAGCCTGGATGGTGGCAGCCCCATAGGGCAGCTAGACCAATAGGAGTCACAGGATTCACAGTAGTCTGGCCTTTGAGGATCACCCCTTCTCTTAGGGTAATGAGGAATTAACCACACTAAAGAAGCACTCTGTGGGCAAAAGAAACCAGACTGCAAGGTTTTCTGTGTCCCAGAGCTTCCTGCTTGTGGGAAGTTTCCTCAGCAGGGTCACTGGTGCAGTGCTGAGCTCAGTGGGGGAAGACTGCAGCTCTGCCACAGCAGTCAAGCAGCCCTGCTATTCATGAAGTGACTTAGAGAAGGGGACTTCTCTCCCCTCTCCAACCACTGTAGACACAGCTGGGGCTTCTCTTGTAGGAGCTTGGTGCAGGTGTACCTGTAGGTAGACTTTCTGAAGCACTTCACCATGACTGCATCCCCATGGGAGATGTGCCCTCCAGTATCAATACTGCATGAGAGGTGTAGTCCCACTCCCTCTCTTCATGATCCATCAGTATCCCTGCAGATGAATAGAGGTGCTTGTTTGATCCGAATATATGGAACACTGGGACAGGGGCATGATGGGAAGGTGAAGCATTTTCCTGCTGTCCTGCTAGTGGAGGAGCTGAGGCCATTCTCTCCCTTCCCTCTGTAAAGACATCACTGCATTTCACTGGGAGCTCCTCCAGCTGCCTCTGTCAGGACTGAGACTTTTGTTCACCATTGGGATATTGCATATATGTAAATGCTTCAGCTGCAGCCAGTTCTTACATTGTAGGTGCCTCCTACTGGCTTGAAGGTTAAACTGTTCCAACCCAATGGAAAAAAATAATACTGGGAAAAAAGAACACATTACACTGGGAAATGAAATAAGTTCCATGAGACCTCTGCTGTTTGGGCCCAACAGAAGACAGTGAACCTGCTCAACACCCAGAATATCACTGCTCATCTGAGACAAGGTTAGTCCCTCTGCCTACGACCCTTTAAAATAAAAAACAAGGTAGTTATTCCCAAGATAAATTGGGATGTAGGCATTGAGTAAATATTCCCATTCCAAAAGGGAGGAATGAACCAAAACATAGGGGCTACAGGCCACATGCAAGTCCATAATTGAGCAAGGCAGTCATTATAAATCAGAGCTTCAAAATAATCTCCTTTGACTATATGTATCATGCCCCAGGCACACTTGTGAAAGGGGTGGGCTCCCATGGCCTTGGGCAGCTCTGCCCCTATGGCTTTGCAGGAGTCAACCCCCATAGCTGCTCTAAGTGTATGGTGTTGAGCACCTGCAGCTTTTCCAGGTGCATGGTGCAAATTGTCAGTGGATCTACAATTCTGGGGTCTGGAGGATGGTGGCCCTCTTCTCACAGCTCCACTAGGCAAAGTCCCAGTGGGGACTTTGTGTGGGGACACTCCAACCCCACATTTCTCCTCTAAACTGCCCTAGTTCTCCATGATGGCTCTATTCGTGTAGCAGACTTCTGCTAGAAATCCAGGCTCTTTTATACATCTTCTGAAATCTAGGTAAAGGCTCACAAGTCTCGACTCCTGCACTCTGTGTACCTGCAGACTTTACACCACTTGGAAGCTGCCAAGGCTTATGGCTAGAACCCTCTTGAGTAGCAGCCCAAGCTGTATCTAGGGCCCTTTGAGCTTAGTCTGGAGCCAGAGGAGCTAGCCTTCAGGGAGCCATGTCCCAAGGCTGAGCAGAGAAGCAGGACCATAGGTATGGCCTGCAAAACCATTCTATCCTCCTAGGCCTCCAGGCCTATGATGGTTGGGGCTGCCACAAAGGTCTCTGAAATGCCTTCCAGGCCTCTTGCCCATAGTATTGGCTATAAGCACAAGCCTTCCTTTTAGTTATGCAAATTTCTGCAGCCTGTTTCATTTGCTTTCCTGAAAATGGGCTTCTCTTTTCTACCATGTGGCCAAGCTAAAAATTTTCAAAACACTTATGCTATGCTTTCCCTTTCAATGTAAGTTCTAGTTTCAGGCCATTTATTGGTCACACATATTAGCATAGGTTGTTAGAAGCAGCCAGGCCAAATCTGGAATGCTTTGCTACTTAGAAATTTCTTCTGCCAGATACCCTAAATCATCACTCTCAAGTTCAAAGTTCCACAGATCCCTATGGTAGCAATACAATGCAGCCAGGCTCTTTGCTAAAACATAGCAAAAATGACCTTTACTTGAGTTCCCAATAAGTTTCAAAATAATCTCCTTTGACTCCATGTCTCATATCCAGAACACACTGGTGTGAAGGGAGGGCTCCCAAAACCTTGGGCAACTCCACCCTTGTGATGCTGCAGGGTTCAGCCCCTGTGGCTGCTCTCAAGAGCTGGCATTGAGTGCCTATGGCTTTTCCAGGCACATGGTGCAAGCTGTTGATGGGTCTACTATTCTGGGGTCTGGAGGATGGTGGTCCTTTTCTCACAGCCCCACTCTGTGGGGGCTCCAACCCCACATCTCTTCTTCATACTGACCTAGTGAATGTTTTGCCCCTGCAGTAGGCTTTTGCCTGGACATGTAGGCTTTTCTACACATCCTCTGAAGTCTAAGCAGAGGTTCCGAAGCCTCAATAATTGCACTCTGTAAACCCACAGGCTTATCACCACATGGAAGCCATCATGGCTTACAGTTTTCACTCTCTGAAGCAGTGGCCTGAGCTGTACCTGGGCTTATTTGAGTTACAGCTGGGCTGGAGTGGCTGGGATACAGGGGGCAGTGTCCTGAGACTGTGCGGTGCTGTGGGGCCCTAGTCCTGACCTACAAAACCATTCTTCCCTCCTAGGCCTACAAGCCTGTGATGGGAGGAGCTGCCATGAAAGTCTCTGCCCTCATCTTCCTGTCTTCTTCTGAGCCCTTTAAACTCCTCCAACCTCTGCCAGTTACCTAGTTCCAAAGTTGCTTCCACATTTTCAGGTATCTTTATAGCAATACCCTAATTTGAGGACCAATTTTCTGTATTAGTTTGTGTTAGTCCATTTTCACACTGCTACAAAAAATACCGGAGACTGGGTAATTTATAAAGGAAAGAGGTTTAATTGACTCACAGTTCTGCATGGCTGGGGATGCCTCAGGAAACATAAAATCATGGCAAAAGGCAAAGGGGAAGCAGGCAACTTCTTCACAAGGCAGCAGGAGAGAGAAGAGTGAAGGAGGAACTGTCAAACACTTATAAAACCATAAGATCTCATTAGAACTCACTCACTATCACAAGAACAGCGTGGAGGAAACTTCCCCCATGATCCAATCACTTCCCTCCCTTGACACATGGGGATTACAGATCCCTCCCTTGACATATGGGGATTACAGATCCCTCCCTTGACATATGGGGATTACAAATCAAGATGAGATTTGAGTGGGGACACAGAGCCAAACCATATCATATCTGTTCTTGCATTGCTATATAGAAATGCCTGAGGCTGGGTAATTTATAAAGAAAAGAAGTTTAATTGGCTCAGGGTTTTGCAGGCTGTACAGGAAGCTTAGTGGCTTCTTCATGAAAACTCCACCCCATGATTAAATCACTTCTCGCCAGGCCCCACCTCCTACACTGGGTATTACAATTCAACATGAGATTTGATGGGGACACAGATCCAAACCATATCACCCCGACAGTCTAGAAGTGTTTTGAATATAGAAAGCATTTCAAAAATATGCATAAAATTGAATTTATTCTAAATGGTCTCTGATATAAATGGTCCCATTGGAAAGGTACATTAGTAAATGGTAAGTAAATATGTGCCTGTTATACAAAAATAATTATATTAATTGCTTTGGCTGGTTATAATACTTGTTATTGGAAAATTGTGTTTTTATAGCAGAAAAGCATTCTTAATTAACGTAAAGTTAAGCTTAAATAATCTCTACATTTTCTTATACTTCTGAGAATCTAGGATATATTTTAATACATTACATTTTTTCTATCTGCAAATACTTTGAGACACAAATCTTTTTCCCCATGATCCCTACATTCATTTCTACTAACATTCTTAAGCCTACATCCAAACAAACAAAATCAAAAGATGCCTATGTTATTTTAAGCAATGTTTGATGGGCTACACATTTCATACCTTTTGACATATTTTATTAAAATGTTTAAATATTAGTGACATGGTCTTAGGATAAGTTATAATTAAAATGCATTCCTTACATTTTCTATGCTTATTGCTTTTTTGTTTATATATAAACACATTATCAAAATCAATGGTAAGTAAACTGTATCCTTTATAATAGCCTATCTTGAAATAGAGTGTAACAACAATCACTGAATGTAAATGACTGAATTTAAATTCGGTCAGTGTCAGTTAACTCTATATGTAGCTGGAGCAGTCAAGTTAGTTAATACACAACTTTAGTTGGTTTTTACTAATTCTCAATAATGACTGAGAAGCCTATTAAAAATTGCCAGGTGTTGTCACTGCTGCTGCTGCTAGGGCTGGAGGAGGGAGGCACTGTAGTGGGCTACCGGACCCAGTGAGAGACACACTCGCCACCCGCTGATGCTTCCGCTGCTTGGGGCCTCCACGAACCTTCTACTTCAGTGTAGAATGGACCAAGGAAACTCAAACCCAGCAGCTATTCCACATGCAGCAGAAGATATTCAAGGAGATGCCAGATGGATGTCTCAGCACAACAGATTCGTTTTGGACTGTAAAGACAAAGAGACTCCATGGTGCAGTTAGATTCCCTTTCATTTCTAGTGTTTGGAGGAGAGGAGGGATTTAAACTGGTCCTGTACATAGAATGTTTGTTTGACAGAGGAGAAAAATTAGCCAAGGAAGATTGTTGTTTAAATTCATTTGAAACCAGAAGCTGACCTTTTAGTTGTCTGTCTAACACATGCATTGAATTATTACTGTTTTCCGAGGACAACATCAAGCCTAAATACTGAACAATATAAAGATTATTTTCCTGGCCCTTCTTTCTGCGGATTATGTCATATATAATAGTTATCGGAATTACACCTACTTGGCTTTAAAACATGCTTTTTCTAATTCTTACGGTTGATAATTTAGCCTTTTGTTTTTATGTTTCTTTTTTCATATGTATCCTGAATATTTTCTTAACATGTAGCATCAGATTGAACATGCTTGTCATTCAAATATGGAAGATGCGATAGTTACAAATGAATTTGTCCTGCTTTCTTAATCTTTTCCATGCTTAGCAGTGAAAAACAGGTTTTGCCACAATAGGGGGACTCTTTGGAGAGTATTATTTTTATGCTGCTGAATATCATGTCTATAATAGACCTGTGCATGTGCCCTTTCCTCCGTTTTTTCCCTCCTCCCCTCTTTTTTTTTTTTTTTCGGTCCTTATTGACATTACAAGCTTTTAACACATTTTTGACCTAGGTTTTATAGCAGTACTATCAGGAGAGTAACTGGCAACAGTACTGCTATAAAACTCATTCTTGTGTGGTTTTCTGTGCTTTAGAGTCTGTGTATTGCTATTCATATTCAGAGTTCTTGTTTGTTTTGTTTTTCTCTTAAAACCTGTTACAGTTTCCTTTTTGGGGAAAAGAATCAGAACTCTGTTTCCCATTCCAAAGCACCTGACATTATTTCAAGTTTTATAATATCTTAAGGTGCATATTTAATTTTTTTATTGGCTTCGTTTTTAAATTATCATCCAAAATTTTGGACCTTTTTCCATGGGGAAACAAGTGAAACTGCTCTTCAGCATAGACATTCTACCTTTATCCCATCATTCCAGTCAAAAAAAAAAACTAAGTTTGTTTCACTTCTAAGGTGTCTCATTAATGTACTTCATCTGAAAGTTTATTTCAAGAGAGCTCTTTATAATCTTAATGTTTGCTTGAGCTATAAGAACTGCCATTTAAAAAATAATGGAATAATATATAGTTTATTCAGTATGCCTATGGAATATGTACAAACTGGGTCTACAGATATTTTGAACTGGACCAGGTAGGTATTAAAGTAACCCATCAGAATATGATCTGCAGTGATTTTGCTTAATGTTCAAATTCAGTAAAGTATTCTTTATGCTCTACCTGAAAGGCAAATTGCAGTGCTTTTGTGTGTTGGAGGAGAGGTTACTGATTTGTGCTAAGACCAACTTCTGATTGAGAGAGACAGAACTTGGGCTCATTTTTTTTCTTGTGAAGTCTCTTTCTAGAATTTTTTTTTGGTTTTATTCTGTGTTTTATTAAAAACATACTTTTTTGCATGTATCTTGTCTTTATTAACAACAGAAAATACACATGGTGTTTAGTAAACTTGTTTACTATATTACAATTTTTCTTTTTATTTTTAGAAGCCCAGGTTACTGACTTTTTAACAAGAGATATTTTCCTTAGCTGAGGTATCTGAATTAAGCCAGATTTTTGTGTGTCAAAGACAGTTTTCTTGCAGGAGTAAGATGGTATCACAGTATATACTGCTGAGGTGATGGGTACACCAGGATGTCACAAATCACCACTAAAGAACTTACTCATGAAGCCAAATACCACCTGTACCCCAATAACTCATGGGAAAAATAAAAATACAAAAATACAAAAATACAAAAAAGTCAAAAAAAAAAAAAAGATTTATAGCCAGGTCTTTTTCTATTTGTCAGAAGGTGGGAGTACAGACCAAATAAATACATTAGGTTACTCCTGCAGCATGCGCTTTTAGCTTCTCTCTTGACTGAGGATAGAATATCCTTTTGTGAGCTGGCCCTCAGCTCCTTTGCTCGTGTGTATAAACCTCAGATGTTACTACATTTTATATCTACCAGAGCCATTCAAGCAACAGTATTTGAACCACTAGCCTTTAAAAAAAATTCTACCAAGTTACTCTCATGTGCAGATGTCGAATTCACTTTCATTTTTTGCCAGATTTCTTTGCACTACTTTAAGCAAAAAATAGTTAAATCTATTTTTCCTTGATTGACATCCCAATTTGCTTCAGTGACAGAACTTACTGCTTGTTATTTTTACTTTTAAAAAATTATTTAAATTTAATGCACTGTCCAAGTGAAATGTCCTAGTTGTCATTGTGATTAAGGAGCCAACTTTCCAGGTAGCTAGCAGAGATACTATTCCTTTCCTCTCCCAGCAAGCTTTTATTCCTTCACCCACATTCCTGCTACACTAGATGGCAGCCAGTGATGGAATTATAAAGATGTCTGTGGTTGTTTCTCGAATGTGGCAGGTTGAAGATGCACTGCCAAAGATGATCTAGGGTAGGTTGTCTTCCTGTCCATGTATTCTGGATTTCCATAGACAGTGATCTGCCTACCAACCTGGGTTTACTTGGACTATTGAGGGCATCTGCCTAAACCAGAATCTTTCACCAGAAACTTTAACCTAACAAAACAAATCTTGAGTAGCTCATGCCCTGCTCTTAGGAATTTTGTCTCATTGTTTAAAAAAAAATTCAATTTAGTTTCATTTTATTTTTTTAACCGAGGCACTGTTTACAGTTATTTGCTAAAGCCTGAAATATTGTCTGTGCTGTGGTGCATGAGCATTGTCAATTTTATTTTTATTGCAGTGAAGAAGAAACTAAAAATTATGAATATGAGGAGCATGTCCAAGCTCCTAACTCCATGTGGGTAAATGTGGGAGAAGTGAGTTGGGGCCTCTTACAAGGAGGCTTTTTGGAGTACATCCAGGCTTCTCCTTGGTGTTCATGTTTGAGGATCACTGCTGCTAGCTGCCTGGACCTCCCCAATGGATATTTGTGATTTTGCTTTGGCAAAGTTTCATTGACTAGTGTCTACTCATTCTGTTTTAGTGTATATTTCAATATAAATGTAAACATTTTGCTCTAAAAAATTACCAGATGTTGATGAATTATTATGTGAATAAATATTGTAATTATTAATGCCCCTGTCATTGTATTAAAATATGAAGACATAGAAGTATTTTTTTTCAAAGTCAATGGCACTGAAAAGTTAGTGTATAAAGAGAAAATAAATCAATAAGCTATGGAATATCTATTTCATTTCCAAGTATGGGGATGAAAGGTATAAGACAGTTACTTCATAAGGATGTTTTACTCTAGCTGGGTATACAGTACTAAAATAGGCAACGTATTGTGTGAATTTTTGGAAAAGCAGAAGCAAATGTGTAAAAGCAAATTATGGCTGCTCTAGTTATTAAAGGGAATAAAGATATTGTTGAGGGTCTGAGACAACATAAAATGATTCACAGAGGAAGTAAGGCTTGAGCTGAGTCATGAGGACCTTTCAGTTACTTTCTCCGTACTTTTTTCAGGTATGTAGGACTCAGTCACTTTTAACTAGTTACTTGTTATAGCCGTTCCAGTCTTCTACTGTAACATTATGTTGTATATAGCGCCCTTCTTAATGTAGGACTTTTCTGAAAAGCTGAGTATCTCCTCAGTTTTTGACTAGGAAAGCAGTGAACCAGCACTGATTTTCTCAGATTCTCCAGATTCTTTGATGTTTGTGTGTTGGGCTTGGGGTGAAGTAAAATGTTTGAATATTCTCTCTCCCTCTCTTTCTCTCTCTCATTATCCAGTCTCCTTCCCATCCAAAATATTTTATTCCAACCTTTTATTTCTCTATGGTTCATACATAACTTCTGTGATAATATGAAGCATACTGTGTGTTCCCTATCTTGTATTCACTAAAAACTCTGAACACCATTGTGCTATGCAACTTCTAGTTGCATGTTTAGTGAAGGTATGCTACCAGCAAGTTTATATTTCCTCATACTATTATTTAATCAGTTAGTGCAATTCCTCATTTTGGGGTACCTGGTATATGCCTAAATATTTATACTTTGCTATATGGAGGCATTTATTTTCCCTCAGAAAACCTGACATTTTGTAAGATAATTCAGTGTAATGTTGAATATCATATTTGGTACATCACAGCAATTCTATTGAAAATTACGTTACCTGACACCCATACATACACACAAACTACCAAATAGTTCCCAAATAATCGGCTTACTTCCAAAATTGCAACAGGCCAAACACAAAAGAAAAGTTATAGAATAATATTAAATTTTATTCTGCACCATTTGCATATTTGGGAAAGTGTTAGTCAAACTGTAAATTTATGTAATTGCATCATTGAGCATATTCTCCAGTCTTGAGAAAACATTTTTGCATCTTTCTAAGAATTGTTTCTCACTAGTTCCTAAATAAAGACTTCATCCTCAAATAAATCATGAATATAGAGATGCTCCTCAACTTATGATGGTGTTACATCCCAATAAACCCCTAGTAAGTTCAAAAATACCATAAGTCAAAAATGCATTTAATACACCTAACCTACTGAATATCACAGCTTACCCTAGCTTACCTTAAATGTGCTCATAATACTTAGATTAGCCTACAGCAGGTAAAGTCATCTAACAGTAATCCCATTTTATAATAAAGCGTTGAATATCTCATATACCACATACAACTAGCCAAGAAAAAGACTAAAATTCAAAATTTGAACTACATGAAATTGCAATGGCTTTGCACCATTGTAAAGTTAAAAAAATCATAAGTCAAATCACTGTAAGTTGGGGACCATCCATACCATTCAAATTCATTGATTTCAAAAGTAGCATATTTCTAGGACAGGTAGGTGATAAGCATTACAATTAGCATATATGAAAAAGTATTAAATATTCTTCTTTTATTAGATTATATGGAATGTATATGACATTAAGTGACCTTGTCAGTTCTATTTTTTAGTATTAAATAATTGTTAGCTAACAAAGTGAAAAATGCAAGGATCGGAGAGTAATATCAACATGTTAGTGGAAAAGGAGATCCTCAGCCTTTGCCCCCATACAGAAACCAGTTCGGCAAACGTTCATGGAAAAAAAATGTTTTTGTGAAAGCTCTGGACATAGGTAGTGATATGGAGTTAAGAAGTAATAATTTAGGCATATAGTGAGGATACGAGAGTCCTCATTAAGGTTTTCCTTTTAATAAAAAGCAGCCCCCGAATCATTTTGTTTTCTAACGAAGAGTGGCCTGTAAAATTGAGCTGCAGACATAGACAAGCAAGCTGGAAGCTTGCATGGGTGAATGTCGGCAGTTATATGCCAATAGGAAGAGGCTCCCTGGGACTAGACCTGTTCAAAATGGTGGCTCCATGTTTCCTTCTCTTTGCCAGCCATGTGTACAGTAAGGAGCAGACCACATAGTGCCGGTCAAGTTGAAAGTCCATTTGCATAATAAGATTATGGTGGGGTGGCCCCCTTTACTGGAGTGCTATGTAAATGTCACACCTGGTCCAACCAATCTGTTGGCCCTACGTAAATCAGACACCATCTCCTCAAATCTGTCTCTAAAATCTGGTGCACTCTGCCACAGGACCGACTTCCCATTTGGGTGCCCCTCTCACTCACAAGAGAGAGAGCTGTTCTCTTTTCTCTTTATTTTGCCTTTTAAACCTCCACTCCTAAACTCATTCCTTGTGTGTGTCCATGTCCTTAATCTTCTTGGTGCAAGACAATGAACCTCAGGTATTTACCCCAAACAATGATGCTGCTTCAGTAGTAGGTTGAGACACTCCAGTGGAGCCCAAGACTAAGAAAAGCTGCTTTGCGAAGGGAAGCCAGTGCCCCCCAGTAGCAAACTGGCTAATTACAGACCTAGTTGCAAACCAAGAAGCAACCTCATCTCCCTGTAGACTCAGTTCCAGCCCTACTCATCCACAGCCCTGCCAACAGCCTCACCTGCCTACCAACTAAACAGCAACCATACCCAGCCATGACCCTGGTAACAGACTCATTTACTGTGGATCACACTGAGGATGAAGAAGCAGCCCTGTAATCCAGCTCTAGCCCCACTCAGCCATGGTCCTGAAAAGCAAGTTGTGTCCACCCAGGGACCTAGGAGGAGTCATATCCATCTTTACATTTGGCAATAGGCCTGCAAACCATGGACCCAGAAGCAGCCACATGACCCACCTCCAGCCCGACTTGATCATGGTCCTAGTGGCAGTCACACCTGCCAGGGACCTGTGGGGAGCCATGCCTGTCTGCATTCCCAGTTATAGGCCTGCCAATCATTGACCCAACTGGCGACCCCAGAAGCAGCCCATTATCCAGCTCCAGCTTCAATAGTAGACTTGATCAAGCAGAAGAAAGAATCAGTAAACTTGACAACAGATTATTTGAAATTATCCAGTTTAAGAAACAACAACAACAACAAAAAGAATGAGAAAGAGTGAAGAAAGCTTATGGGATATATGGGACGCCATCAAGTTAGCTAATATATGCATTGTAAGAGTTCCAGTAGAAGAAGAGGGAAAGAAAGAAGTAGAAAGCTTATTTAAAGAAATAATGGATGAACATTTTCCAAATCTTGGGAGTGAAATGGACATCCAGATATATGAAGCCAAAAAGCCCCAAAATTGTTTGAACCTAAGGTAGTGTACACCAAGACACATTATAATAGCATTGTCAAAAGTCAAAGACAATAAGAATTTTGAAAGCAGCAAGAGAAAAGCAACTTGCCACGTACAAGGGAAGCCATATAAAATATCAGGGGATTTCTCAGCAGAGACAGTGCAAGCCAGTAGTGAGTAGGATGATATAGTCAAAGGTACTAAAAGAAAAATAGAAGACAAAAAACGGCCACCCAAGAATACCTGGCAAATCTGTTCTTTAAAAATGAATGGGAGACAAAAACTTTCCCAAACAACAAAACTCAAAGGAAATCATCACCACTAGACCTACCTTACAAGAAATGCTGACAGGAGTTCTTTGAGTTGAAATGAAAAGACGTTAAACATCAACATAGAAGCATAAGAGTATAAATATCACTTGTAAAGTTGTATATGCTAAATATCTTCAGCTTTTTATATGCCAATTATACCTCAATTAAACAGCGTAAAAATGCAAGAATAGAACCTTTTGATAACTATGTCATTAGAAAATTCAAGGACAGAAAAATTTTATTAGAGCATATTGTTTTATCCCTAGTGTTTCTTCTCATTCGTTCCTTAGTGCCAGACTCAGGGGTCTGCTTATTTTCACACATCAGATCATGAAATTTGGAAGTGCACAGCAGAAAAAAGTAAAATATATCTTTCAGCAAAATTAAGAGAAATTCACACAATTTTCTTTTTGCCCCTATATAGGCCTTCATCTTAGGAAACAGAAAAAATTGTTTAATGTCATTCTCAAGGTGACAGAATTTTTATCAAGTATTTGATTTCTGTAAAGAGACAACATATTTTCTTTCACATTCAAGGAAAAAAAAAGTGGAAGATCAGCCATACCTTTCAAAATAAAATATTGTTGAAGCACAATATAAATACGAAAAATGTGCTGAAACCTAGACTGAACTTTTGTAGGAAAATAAAACAGCTTTTAGAAAATTATAGAACAAATGACAATTTGAATTCTTCTTCACATTGTTTTTTTACTGAAAGAAATTTTGCCTGACCTTTGATCAAATTCAAATGCATATTATTCTATGATGTTAATTCATTTCTTATTAATGAACTGGGCCACGTATAATTTTATTTTTCTAAATTTATCACAAATCTATGAAAACTATATATATATAGTTTTTGTTGATAAATTTAGAAAAATAAAATTCATCCTCATGATTGATTGCAAAGCAGGACATTTTTTTCCTCTTCAAAACATTAATTTTTTTATAGCAATTTAGAGGAGGTGAAGCAACTTTAGGTATGGTTGTCATCTCCTGAGAACATTCTACATAAGCATACCTGGATGCAGGATAGTCTAATTCTTGAGAATTAGAAACCTATTTTTTCCTTTACCTTTCATTTGAATAAATTTCCTTCTTTACCTATATTAATATGAATCTTGTCAGCTTGGTTAAAATGTATATCTTCTTGCTGATTAAAAAAAGTACATACAGTTAACAAATAAACCCACAAACATGTGGACAGTCCAAGTTAATATACAACCTCAAGTTCAAGGAGCTACTTTATTGCTTTTACATTATGTAATTTCATAAAAGAATCTTAATAGAATGAATAAATTGAATTTTGTCCAGTGTTGAACTAGAACTTACTCTTTTTAAGTGGTGCCAAAAATATTTATATTCATGTTTCTGTTTAGTTAACATTGTAATAACCACTTTCCCTCTAATGTAACATTACTTACTGGTACAGTACATTCTCAGAGAGAAACTATTTGGTGAATATTGCTTAGTGACAAGAGGGCATTACTATATTGTTGTAGTACAAATCCCTAAATTTCCTTGCCTTGATAGGTTTATGCCTTAAGCACAATGGTGTTTGAATGTAAGTTATTTTTGTTTAATTTCTTCCTGGCAGAATAACTCATCTTGACAGCATTTCATTTAGTCTTTCAGTACAAATAACCTCTGTAAAATTCCAATGAAATTGTTTTACCATTATAAAATACTTTCAAATAGTGGTAATACAACAATTACGTAGCTGTAATTTTACTCTTAAAACTATTTTGCCCAAATTTATATTCTCACATTACAATATCATCGTGCAATAGCTCTAAGATTCTGTTGACATTGTAATAACAATTAAATAGTCTCATCCCAGGCTACAAATAGAATTGTACTCAAATTGATCATTGAAATTCTACATTGTAAGAACATTGTAAAGCCTTCTTCATATGGTCTCCGTAAGCTACTACTGGAATCTTTGTGTTTCATTTTTAAATGTAAACTTTGTATAAGATGCCAGGAATTTAGTACCAAATTGCAAAATCAACACAAAAAGTCACAATTTCCCTTTCTCCATTCAACATTTTTCAAACTAATAGTTAACTTCCAATTATTTTATTTTATCTTAAAATTATTTTTTAATGAGTAGGATTTATCAAAGTCAAAAGACAATATAAAACATTCCTTGGGATTTTGATGACTAAGCTCATTGTGGAATTTTTTCTTTTATAGTCCAGAGTAGAAACATGAACTGTAATCAAAGAGTATGGAACTGTAACCCCTTAATGTTTATACAGAGCTGGCTGTGGGGAAAAGAAAAAAAAGCAGTGCTAATAAAGGTCAGGGACTGAGTGACTACAAACCAGAGTATTTAAGAGATATATTTTATTTTAAGATTAAATCCTCCTTATGGAAATTTTGGTCCTGAGTTAAGGAATAACTCTGATGGGTAGTCTTAGAGCCTATATATGACTGGTAAAAATCTCAGAAATTTCAGCCAATATATGTTTCTTAAATCCTGGCTCTGATGTCTGAAAGTGTTTCACATAACCAGTGCCATACAGGTCCTCATCACCTCACATCTTAGTATTTTTGTTTGTTGTTGTTGCTCTGGAGAGGGCTCTAGTTTATTCAGACTTTCACTGTCTCTGGCCTAGTCTACTTAATCTTAGCATTCTCACTATCTCCCTCACCCCACTCTCTCTCTACTCCAATCCATTCTCTACTTTTAATCTAAATTCTCTAAAATATGCTTTCATTGAATTTTCCACATACCATAATGACTTTTTTTGTTCCTGAATTATTGTTCCACGTTTAGTCTTTATGTCATAATCAAGTACTGGACTTTATATGTCTTTGTATTGATCTTTAATTGTTTTTTTCCTGTCCCTCTTATTTTCTTGCTTGATACTTTCAGGTGAGTTAACATTTATAAGTGCTGCTTTAAGAATTTTTTGTGCTGGTTTGTATTAGCTTCCAGATCCTGACACAAAAAAAAAGAAAGAAGAAAGAAGGAAAGAAAGAAAGAAGAAGGAAGGAAAGAAAAAGAAAGAAAGAGAGAGAGAGAAAGAAAGAAGAAAGAAAGAAAGAAAGAAAGAAAGAAAGAAAGAAAGAAAGAAAGAAAGGAGAGAGGAAGGAAGGAAGGAAAGAAAGAAAAAGAAAGAAAGAAAGAAAGAAAGAAAGAAAGAAAGAAAGAAAGAAAGAAAGAAAGAAAGAAAGAGGAAAGAAAGAAAAAGAAAGAAAGAAAGAAAAAAAGGAACACTTTTTATGTTGGTAGAATCATAGTTTTCCAAAGTTGGTCTCTTCAGCAGCCTCACTAAAAAAGAACAATCATTAAAAAGTTGGAAAAGATGCCAATTAATAGGCTTTTAAGCTGTATTCCATTATACCAAAAGGGGCAGATGGGCGGGTTTAAACGCTTTATGAATCTAAGTAAGCAGTAGCTTCAGAGAAGTGTTTAGAGGGGAGACGAAGTATAATTATCCTTTAAACCAAGTTGGGATATTTCTTTTTGAGTACCTTTTGCTCACTGGCAGCCATCTCAATTAAACAGAATTACTATTCCAATTAAACTACCATTGTTGTTGTTAATTAGTATTAATTCTGTTAGAAATGATGATCAAATACCCTTCATTATTTACCAATTTGAAATTAAGGGCCTGTTATCTTAGCTTTTTAGTCCAATATGTTTTTGTACAACGATGAATTTATAGAATCCTACTGATAATTAATATTAATTCCACCTGTTGTGAACTTCAGACTAATAATCTTCAGGGCTAACTAGGTAGGAATTTTTGGTGTTACAATAAAAATTAAAATATACATTTGTAAATAAACAAGCAAACTGAAACACATTTTATTAATGACTAAGGCTTGATTTGGCAACATTCTATAGATGGCAAGTCCAAGAAAATTGATTTATAGTTAATAGCTGTAAATAATTACTATGTTAAATTTACTCAACAGAGCAGTATTTGCTGTAATTTTGTGATTTCTGTTTTAATAACACATTATTCAACATGGCAATTCCCTGAATAATTTTAAAATAAATGAAATGTCTTTGTTAAAAGTTTATTTTTATAATTTTAAGTTAATCAACAAAAATATCTTAAAGAGTGTGTTTCTGAAGTTTCTGTCATCAAGAATAAACTTTCATGCTTATCTTGTTCATTTTTTTTATGCCGAGCAGTTTAGGAATAAAAAAATTCTGTTCATTTTTAATATTGATGTCAAAATATCATGAAATACATTTTTATAGAAAATTACTTTTTTATGTTTTTATAAGAAAATCAAGATGTAGAACTTAAAACCTGTTAACTAGCTAAATATAAGTGCAGATGTAGATAGATAGACACCGTAAACATTTACATGTTTCATGTATTTATATGAAACATGCAGATAATTGAAGCAAAATGTGCTTCTCTTTTCCTATTTGCTTTCAATTACCCAGATATTTCTTGAAGTTCTACTTTGCTTTGATTGGGTAAATATTTAATGTACTTGTTAAGCATGCTATTCCTATTTTCTATAATATTGCCATTTTCTTTTCAAAATATATATACAAGGAGCTTTTTGTTAGTAAACACGTTGATATGTTGGGAAGACGATGCACCTGGAGAAGGTAGGGAAGTTCTATGCCACACTCTCCTCTCATACTTTACCCTATGCCTATCTTACATGTGGCTGTTTTTGAGTTGTATCCTTTATGCTAAACTGGTGAAAATAAGTAAAGTGTTTTCCTGCATTCTGTGAGTCATTCCACTATCAATCCTGGGAAGGAGGTTGTAGGAAACCCTGATTTTATAGCTGGTCAATATGGGTGGTCCCTAAACCTTGTGACTGGCATCTAAAATGTGGGAAGTCATGTTGGACTGAGCTCTTAACCTGTGGGGTCTGTGATAACTATGAACAGTTGGTGTCAGAATTGAGTTAAATTTTTGAACCCCTAGTGGGTGTCAGAGTGTTGAAAAATTGGTGAGAAAATTCCCCACGCATTTGCTGTCAGAAGTAGTGTCAGAAAGAAGCTTAGAGTTGTTTTCAGAAATGTGTGTTTAACTGTAAAGGCTCTGGATCACAGAAACATTTGGTTTGGAAAAATAGAAAAGGATAAAAGGGCAAGGTATGAGAAACCTTTAATTCCTTTGTGGCTAAGTGTATATCCATAGTATGAAATGATAATTGTGTTGAAATCAGTTCCTAAAGTTAAAAATTCTTGATAGAATTTAAAGATGGATCAGCCAGGCACGGTGGCTCATGCCTGTAATCTCAGCACTTTGGGAGGTTGAGGCGGGTGGATCACGTGAGGTCAGGAGTTTGAGACCAGCCTGGCCAACATGGTGAAACCCAGTGTCTACTACAAATACAAAAATGTGCTGGGCATGGTGGTGTGCACCTGTAATCCCAGCTACTTGGGAGGCTGAGGCAGGAGAATCGCTTGAACCTGGGAGGTGGAGGTTGCAGTGAGCCAAGGTCGCACTATCGCACTTCAGCCTAGACAACAAGAGTGAATTCCCATCTCTCAAAAAATAAGTAAAGATGGATCCAACTCCTGGTGAGTTGGTTCACGGAAGCCATAAAAAATGCAACTCATAAAAATATATCATCCCTTGGTTATTGTTATAATTATTAGCTAAAATGAAATGAAGAGAGTGCTGGTTTGGGCTTAGATGCTCGGCCAAGCTAAAATTTTTGTTTTTCTGAGCTTTGATCACTAGCTTCAAATCTTCTCCAAAGGAAAAAAAAAAATGCAGGGACAACATAATGTACCTGTAAGGCCTCTGCTAAACAAAAAGGTAGTCCATGTGGGAGGAGGAAAAAAATATGAGAAACTACTGTAACCAAGGAATATAGTGTGAAGAAATCGTCTCATGTAAATCAGCTTAATCAGCTTCCTATACAATCTTTATTAAATGGATTGTGAAAGTGAGTAGCTTAGAGTCAGTTTCTGGTTCTGAACGCTGCAGAGTAGAGTAGCATATTTGGGTTGATATAGTACCTAAAACTCAACATGGAACAATCACAGATGGCTAAACAGGTAGTCCCTAGCTTATAATAGTTTGACTTAGGTGGTGCAAAAATAATACAAATTCAGTGAAAACCGCACTTCAAGTCCTCACAGAAACATTCTGTATACTTTCAGTACAGTATCCAATAAACCACATGATATATTCAGTACTTCATTATAAAATAGTCTTTGTGTTATATTATTTTGCCCAGCTGTAGGCTAATGTAAGTGTTCTGAACACATTTAAGCTAGGCTAGAGTATGCTATAATATTCTGTAGGATATCTATAATAAATTCATTTACAACTTATAATATTTTCTACCTACAATGGGTTTATTGGAAAATTACCTCACTGTTACTTGAGGAGCATCTGTACCTGATCCAGACACACAACAAGTTATTCCTTTGGGAACAGCCAGCCTGGTGAAGTGCAGAAAAGCCACTTTGAAGTCTATCCTGAAAAGGGGAAGCCTTAGTCAGTTGGAGCTGCTATGACAAAGTATCTCAGCCTAGGTAATTTATAAACAACACAAACTTATTCACCACAGTCTGGAGGCTGGGAAATTCAAGTCAAGGCACCAGAAGATCTGGTGTCTAATGAGAGCCTGTTTTTTATAGATGGTGCCTTCTATGTGTTCTCACATGGCAGATGGGATGAACAAGCTCCCTCAGGACTCTTCATAAGGGCATTCATGTCATTTATGAAGGTAGAACCCTCATTACCTAATCACCTCCAAAGTTACCACCTCTTAATACCACCACATTGAGGGTTAGGTTTTAACATATGAATTTTAGATGTACTTAAGCATTCAGATCATAGGATGAGGATTGTCAGATTCTTCCTACAATGCCAAGTGGAACACCCAAGATAAAGAATCAGGTGCACTTATGATTCAGCCATGAGAGGCTGGCTTTGTGATGACTGGAATATTCACTTATTAAATATGACCATTACCCGGTAATGGTAAATGCTGTGGTTAAGAAGGCCTCTTTTGCATGAGTACTCCATGGAATCTTACTGCTGAAAAACTGAGCAATCTAGTCTGAAAAGTCTTACCAAATTTTCTGTCTCAGCTTCCCCCATGGGTCTTATAGAAGCTAATAAAGCACTAGATTAATTAACAAGAGAATGGAGGAAAGCAGCAAGGAGAGTCAAGGGATTCATCCTAGCAGGCTTGAAATTTTTAAATGCTTGTTAAGAAACAGCACGAATAGAAGTAACGTTGAGGGGGGCAAAACAAAGAGGAAAAAAATAGAGAGTCAAGGGACTCAGCCATCAGGGTGAAAATGTTTAGATGGTGCTATGGTGTGAATGTATGTTCCCCTTCAAAATTCATATGTTGAAACCTAATCTTTAATGTCGTGGTATTAAGAGGTGGGACATTTCAGTCCATGAGGGCTCCACCTTTATGAATAACATTACTCCCCTTGTAAAAGAGGCCTGAGATACCTTGTTCATTTCTTTTGCCATATGATGACACATAGAAGTTGCCGCGTATAAGGAACAGGCCCTTAAAATAACACTGAATCTCCTGGCACCTTGATCTTGGATTTTGCAGTCTTCAGAATTATGAACAATAAGTTTGTGTTGTTTATAAATTACTTTTTTTCCCAAGATAGTAAATTAGAGGCTTTCAGCATGCCTCTCAGACATTTGGAAATAGCAAAATTATATGCAAAGATAAACACTGTGAGCTTTAATTCAAGAAAGAAAATAAGAATTCACCAGAATAGCAAAAAAAAAATCTCCAGACCCCAGAAAGGAGAAGGTGGGCAACCAACCATTGTGACAGGGTTCAGCTGATAAAGTGAGTGAAAGCCCCAGTACTTAAAGGGGAAGCCAATCTTCCTCTGTGTCTCACGTTTTGGCTAATGATCTGTGCAACTCAGGCCAACGAAGAGTGCCCTGTTTCGCTCAAGCCTGAGAGCTAGCTTGGGGAGATGATAACAGACAGAGAGAGAAAAGACACCAGAAATAATTGCAGGCATTTTCCCAGACCTGGGACTGAAAGAAGGATGTCATTTTAAATCTGGGATCACAAAACATCAGTCGTTGTTTAGCAACCTGGCAATAGCAGCCACTGGAGACATTTAGGCTAGAGATTGGAGTGCTGCTCTAGAGCAGAAGGGCCCCTGCAGTCAGAATAGAATAGTAAACAAGGAGAGCACCCCAGCAGTAACAGCTGGAATTAGGCTCTCTCCCATCCCAGAACTGGTGCAGGAGGAGAGCTGCAGAGATGATATTTATCCTGGATGGCATGACTTCCAATCAGGGACAGCTTTACAACCTAGGAAATGTCTGCACTGGCCATTACTAGGTGCCCCAGGCTGCTCCCTTGGTCAGTAAAGAAAGAGTGCCCCAACAGTTCAGAGAAGAACGGAGGTGGTCCCCTCTCCCCTGGAGATTTAACCTTTGACATGGACCACCTCTCAAACAGCAGGGAGTGCAGCTCACCAAAGACCCCCTTGGATAAAAGGAAACATGGGATATGGTGCCAACTGCTGAATTAGGCAACATTACAGCCTTGGAATGGACTTATAGATGGGGTCATCTCTGGCCCTCCACCCCTTCTGCCCAGTACACTGCTGCAGACACGTCACCGGCTCTTCCTACAGAGCCCCAGGGAGCATGGGCTGAAAGAGGTGCTAATTGGGTCCCTCTGGTGGCTCCTTCCCCACCAAAGACTAGTACACGGAAGAAGAGCACTTCTTGCACTTCTCTGTTACCTCCCCCTCCACTGAAAGTGAGTAAACACAGAATAAGAGCTTCTGCTGACCCTAACTCTTAAGCACTACCTACTGGACTGCAGGCCAAATTATAACTCCAAAGGAGAATACATTGCTACACTAAGCAATGTCTGAGAAAGTCACTTTATGAAGCAATCTGCAACCAAGGAGCCTGTACAGAGCCCTTGACCTCTGCAAGTACCCAGTAATGAAGCCAATCAATTATGTAGAACATACACCACAGTCATACCATCAAGGAAAAACAATAAAAAATCAAATAGACCCATCTAAATGATATTAAATTTTATAAAGAAGTATCATCTCCTTCAGATAAGAAGGAGCCAGTGCAAGAACACTGGAAACACAAAAAAGTCAGTCTTCGTCACCTCCAAAGGATCATACTAACTCCTAGCAACGAATGTTAACCAGAGTGAAATGTCTGAAATTATAGATATAGAATGCAGAATACAGATAGCAAAAAAAAAAAAAAAAAAAAAAAAAAAAAAAAAAAAAAAACTCAATGAGATCCAAGAGAAATTTGAAATCCAACACAAAGAAAACAGGATTTGAAAGACGGCATAGCTGTATTGAGAAAGAGCTAAGTGGAACTTCTGGAGTTGAAAAATTTACTACAGGAATTTCAAAATACAGTTGGAAGACTTAACAACAGACTTGACCGAGAAGAAAAAAGAATTTCAGAGCTCTAAGACCAGTCCTTCAAATCAAGCCATTCAGAAAACAATTTAAAAAAAAAGAATTAAAAATGAACAAAGACTTTGAAAATTATGGGATTATGTAAAGCAATCAAATTTATGACTTATTGGCATTCTAGAGAGAGGAGACAGTAAGCAACTTGGAAAACATATTTGAAGATATAATTCATGCAAAATGCCCAATCTTGATAGAGAGGTCCACGTGCAGATAGAAGAAATTCAGAGAACTCCTGTGAGATACTATACAGGATGACCATCCCCAAAGAACATAGTCATCAGACTATCCAAAATCAACGTGAAAGAAAAAAATCCTAAAGGCAGCTAGAGAAAGGGTTTATATTATCTACAAAGGGAAACTGATTAGACTAACAATTGACTTCTCAGCAGAAATCTTACAAGCCAGAAGAGATTGGGATCCCATATTTAACATTCTTAAAGAAATGCCAGCCAAGAATTTCGTATCCTGTCAAACTAAGCTTCGCAAATGAAAGAGAAATAAAATCTATTCTAGACAAGCAATTGCTGTAGAAATGTGTTATCACCAGACCAGCTGTATGAGAAATGCTTAAGGAAATTCTAAATATAAAACCAAAAGAACAATACTTATGAAGCAATTTGCAACCAAGGAATTTCAACAGAGCCCTCTGAAAGCACACATAACATACATAAGCAGATAGCCTACGGACCCTATAAAGCAACTACACACTTAAGAATATGAAGTACTTAGCTAATGACACTATGACAGGAACAAATCCTTGCATATCAATATTAACCTTGAATGTTAACAGCCTAAATGCTCCACTTAAAAGACATAGAGTGGCAAATTGGATTTTTTTTAAAAATCTTCATCTTTCTGCTGTTTTAAAGAGACCCATCTCACATCTAATGACACTTGTAGGCTCAAAGTAAAGGAGTATAAAAAGATCTGTCATGCAAATGGAAAACAAAAATGCAGGGGTCATTATTCTGATATCAGATAAAACATATTTTAAACCAACAACAGTATAAAAGGACAAAAGAACAGCTTTACATAATGATAAAGGGTTCAACTCAAAAAGAAGATTTAACTATCCTAAATATATATGTACCTGACATTGGAGCACCCAGATTCATAAAACAATTACTTCTAGACCTAGGAAATAATGTGTGGACACCCACACAATGATAGTGGGGGACTTCAACACCCCAGTGATACCATTACACAGTTCATCAAGGCAAAAATCTACAAATAAACTCTAGATTTAAATTTGATGCTTAATTAATTGGACCTAGTAGATGTCTACAGAATACTCCACCTCAAAACCACAGCATATACATTCTTCTTCCCTGCATGCAGAATAGACTCTCAGATTGACTACATAGTCATGAAGACAGTCTCAATAAATTCAAAAATATCAAAATTATACCAAGCATATTCTTGGACCACGATGGAATAAAAATATAAATAAACACCAAGAGGACCTCTCAAAATCACAAGATTATATGGAAACTAAACAATTTGCACCTTAATGACTTTTGGGTAAACAAGAAAATTAAGCCAAAAAAAAAAAAAATTTGAAACAAATGGAAACAAAGGCAACATACCAAAATCTCTGGAATGTGGGAAAATAGTGTTATGAATAAATGTTATAGCATTAAATGGGTACATCGAGCAGGTAGAAAGACTTTAAATTAACATTTTAACTTCACACCTAAAGGAACTAGAAAAACAAGAAAAAACAAAACCCAAAGCTAGCAGAAGAAAATAAATAACTAAAATCAGAGGAGAAATAAAGGGAACTGAAATCCCCAAAAAAAAACACAAAAAAGATCAACAAAATTAAAAATTGGTTCTTTAAAGGATAAGTAAGACTGATAGACTACTAGGTAGATTAACAAAATAAGAGAGAAGATCCAAATAAGCACAATTGGAAATGACAAAGGTGACATTACAACTGATCCCACAGAAATACAAAATATTCTCAGAGGCTATAATCAACACCTCTATGTGCATAAACTGGAAAATCTATAGGAAACTGGTAAATTCCTAGAAAAACACAACCTCCCAAGATTTAACCAGTAAGAAATGGAAATACTAAACAGACCAATACTTATTAATTAAAAAAAAACTGTAATAAAAAACTTGCCTACCAAAAAAATCATTGAACCAGTTTGATTCACATCCAGATTCTACAAAGTTCATCAAGAACCGGTGCCAATCCTACTAAAACTATTACCCAGAAGATGAGGAGGAAGGATCTTTCCCTAACTCATTCTACAAAACCAGTATCATCCTGATGCCAAAATATGGCAAAAGCAGAATGAAAAAGGATAACTATAGGCCAACATTCCTGATGAACATAGAAGCAAAAATCCTCAATGAAATGCTAGGAAACTGAATTCAGCAGCACATCAAAAAGTAAATTCAACACAGTCAATTAGACTTTATTCCTGGGATGCAAGGTTGGTTCAACATATGCAAATCAATAAATGTGTTTCACCACAAAAACAGAATTTAAAATATAAACCAAATAATTATCTCAATAGATGTGGAAAAAGCATTCAGTACAATCCAAAATTTCTTCATGACAAAAACCCTCCCCAAAATGGGCATGGAAGGAACATTCCTCAAAATAATAAGAGCTATCAGTGACAGCTCAAAAGCCATGATCATATTAAATGAGCAAAAGCTGAAAGCATTCCCCCTAAGAACTGGAACAAAGCAAGCATGTCCACTCTCGGCATTCCTATTCAACATAACACTGGAAGTCCTAGCCAGAGCAACTGGGCAAGACAAAGGGAGAAAAGGCATTCAAATAGGCAAAGAGAAAGTCAAATTTTCTCTCTTCACTGATAATATAATTCTATAGCTTGAAAATCCTAAAGACTCCACAAAAAAGCTTCTACAACTGATAAATGACTTCAGTAAAATTTCTGGATACAAAAATCAATGTACAAAAATAACTAGCATTTCTATGATTTGCTACCAAGAAAATAAGTAGCATTTCTCTAGCAGTTCAAGCTGAGAATAAAATCAAGAATGCAATCTCATTTACAACAGCCATAAGAAAGAAAATATCTAGGAATATGACTAACCAAGAAGGTGAAAGATCTCTACAAGGAAACTACAAAACACTGATTAAATAAATTATAGATGTCACAAACAAATGGAAAAACACACTATGCTCATAGTTTGGAAGAATCAATATTATTAAAATGGCCATATTGCCCAAACCAATCTACAGATTCAATGCTATTCCTATTAAATGACCAATTTAATTTTTCACAGAATTAGAAAAGTTATTATAAAATTCATGTGCAACCAAGAAAGAGCCCAAATAACCAAAGCAATCCTAAACAAAAAGAAGAAAGCCAGAGACATTGCATTACCCATCTTCAAAGTATACTACAAGGCTAAAACAGCATGGTGCTGGTAGAAAAAACAAACACATAGATAAATGGAACAGAATAGAAGACCCAGAAATAAAGCCACACATCTACAACCATCTGATCTTTGTGAAATTTCATAAACAAACAAAAAAGCATTGGGGAAAGGACTCCCTATTTAATAAATGGTGCTGGGAAAATTGGCTAACCATTTGTAGAAGAATGAAGATGGACCCCCTATCTCTCATCATATACAAAAATTAACTTAAAATAGATTAAAGACTTGAATGCAAGACCTCCAACAGGGGAAATCCTAGAAGAAAACCTAGGATATACTCTTCTTGATATTGGCCTAGGCAAAGAATTTATGACTAAGTACGCAAAAGAAAGCATACAAAAAAAAATGAACAATTGGGACCTAATTAAATTACAGAACTTTTGCACAGCAAAAGAAACTATCAACAGAGTAAACAGATAACCTAAAGAATGGGAGAAAATATTTACAAACTATGCATCTGACAAAGGACTAATATGCAGAATCTATAAGGAACTTAAAAAGCAAAAAACAAATAACCCTATTTAGAAGTGGGTAAAGGACATGAACAGACACTTCTGAAAAGAAGAAATATAATTTTCCAACAAATACATGAACCAAAAGCTAAACATCACTATCAGATAAATGCAAAATAAAATCACAATGAGATACAATCTCACACCAGTCAGAATGGCTATTATTAGGTTGGTGAAAAAGTAATTGTGGTTTTTGCCATTACTTTTATTATTTAAAAAGTCAAAAAATGAAAGATGTTGTTGAAGCTGTGGAAAAAATAAAATGCTTATACACTGTTGGTGGGATTGTAAATTAGTTCAGCCCCTGTGGAAAGCAGTTTTGAGATTTTTCAACAAACCAAAACCAAAAGTATCATTTGGGCCGGGCACGGTAGCTCACGCCTGTAATCCCAGCACTTTGGGAGGCCGAGGCAGGCGGATCATGAGGTCAAGAGATCGAGACCATTCTGGCCAACATGGTGAAACCCCGACTCTACTAAAAGTACAAAAATTAGCTGGGCGTGGTGGCGCTCGCCTGTAGTCCCGGGTACTCTAGAGGCTAAGGCAGGAGAATTGCTTGAACCCGGGAGGCGGAGGTTGCAGTGAGCCGAGATCACACCACTGCACTCCAGCCTGGCAACAGAGTGAGACTCCGTCTCAAAAAAAAAAAAAAAAAAGTATCATTTTACCCAGCAATCCTATTACTGGTTATATGTATTAGTCCGTTCTCAAACTGCTATTAAGAACTACCTGAGACTGGGTAATCTATGAAGAAAAGAGGTTTAATTGACTCACAGTTCCACAGGCTATACAGGAAGCATGGCTGGAAGGCTTCAGGAAACTCAAAATCACGGTAGAAGGCAAAGGAAAAGCAAGAACATCTTACCATGGCACAGCAGGAGAGAGAGAGTGAAGGGGGAAATGCTGCACACTTTTAAACAACTAGATTTTGCGAGAACTCACTCACTATCCTGAGAACAGCAAGAGGGAAATCCGCCGCCATAATCCAATCACCTCCCACCAGGTACCTCCCCCAACACTGGGATTTACAATTCAACATGAGATTCGGGTGGGAACATAGAGACAAACCATATCAGTAAATAACCAATGGGGAAAAAAAATCATTGTACAGAAAAGGCACCTGTTCTCCTATGTTCATCACAGCACTATTAACAATAGCAAAGACATAGAATCAGCCTAGGTGCCCATCAATGGTGGATTGAATAAAGATAATGTGGTAAATATACATCATGGAGTACTATACAGCTACAAAAAAATAAATAAAATTATGTCCTTTGCAGCAACATGGATGCTACTGCATGCCTTTATCCTAATTGAATTAATGTAGAAACAAAAAAATATATTGCATGTTTTACTTATAAGTAAGAGCCAAACATCTGGTACACATGTACATAAATATGGAGACAGTAGACAGTGGGGAATCCAAATGGTGGGAGATGGGGTAGGGAGAAGGGCTGAAAAACTTCCTACTAGGTACTATGTTCACTCTCAGGGTAAGGGGATCAATAGACCCCAAACCTCAGCATCATGCAATACACGCTCATAAAAAACCTACACATATATCCTGTGAACTTATATTTCAAATATTTAAAAATAATGATCCATAAATTAGTCAGAGGTATTTTTTGCACCAGCCCAAGTGAACTAAGACAGATGGTTATTAAGATATTAAAATAGAATAAATAAAACAGACATTGATGGAGTTGAAATGAAGGTCTTAATACAGCACTGTTGTAGATTGGGTAGACCAAAGGACCCCCTGTTGTTCCCCAACACTAAAGATCCCCCAGAAATGTTAACCCTATTTAGCCCAGGTCAGAGAAATTTAAAACGCCAGAAAGTGTTTTACGTATTTTAAAGATGACAATGAGAAATGTGACATGGAGTTTATGGGTGCAATCAAATGTCAGATTAATCATGATAAAAACTGACAAAAGGGCCAGAGTCTCTTGGCTCAACTACTCATTGGGGAAGGAAAATGAATTTCTGGGTCTCCTTTACACAGGAGCCACATGTACTGCATGTAGTGTGTGACCAAACCCATTGGAAAATCTCTAGCAGGGACAATCATTATATTGAAAGAATATAGAAATGTTAGGAGTGAGAGAATTAAGAAAGTTAAAACATTTAAACAGATTGTTCCTCCCTTTACTTGAATGTTTTTTTTGGGAATTGATATTATGTCTAACTGGAAAACACTTTCCCTACCTAGTATTGCAAAAACAAAATTTGTTAATAAAGTCTTAATTGCAAAAACATCATTTGCTCTTAAAGTGTTGCAACATCTTTATGTGAAAGAATCGTGCCTATTTTACCTGAATGTATTATGACGATGGACATTCTGACTGACTGGGGGAATAATTCCAATACCCAGTGTTACAAAACTGAAGGCTTTTGAGGGATGCATTAAGATAAGACATGTCAATTCCCATTAGAAGAACATTCTTCTGGGTTTGAAGGGTAATTGGAATCTACTAGTGGATATCCTGGTGTCCTTGCTTAAAGTGGCCACAGGGGTCCATGAAAAGAGTGGATGTTGGGGGGCTGCAGCAATTCAGAGATGGTTGAATCTGGATATATTTCTCTTATATCCACTGAGGCACAAAATGCCAATAAGAACTGTTCTGTCTGTCAACAAATGAGAGAGACTACAGATAGTATGTGGCAGATTTCCTGTAAGGCCTCAAACATAGCTGGCAAGTCAAACTGATACCTATAGTAATGGGGGACTACATACCAATCCTGTGAAGAATAGATGCTCACCCTGAACTGGACTGGTTGAAGATGCAAATGTACACAGTACTAGAAAAGATTTGAAACAGAATAGATTGCAAAAATCTGGACTGCCAAGTTACGTTTCTTCAAACCAAGGTACACAGTTTATAGTCCATAAAGTCTAGCAATGGGCAGTGATAGATTCTCCTAGAAGTAATACTTGGATAGAGAATTGGAAGAAGCAACTCAAAGACTGGTTGTCTAACACAAGAGGGGAAATGTAGGAATGAAGGACTAGCTTAGATGACTTCACAAGTATGTGCTCACACTGAACATGAGAAGCACTAAAGGAGTGTCCCCACTAGACAATTTCCTATGTTTTGTTTTGTTTTGTTTTGTTTTGTTTTGTTTTGTTTTGTTTCTGGGTATGGGGTAGGGAAGAATGTTGGTGTGACTATACATTTCTTCCCATGGTACGAACATGTTGGCATGATAGCTATGCTTTTTTTCTTTCTTCCCCATACCACACCAACTTTCTTTTTCATCCCTGTTGCAGGTCCAGGGTTGCAACTAAAAGTGCTAGAAATAGAGGTGATTCCTAAGAAAGAAACTGTAACTGCCGTCATATATCACTTAACAATGAGGATACCTTCTGAGATATGTCTTATAAGGCTATTTTGTCATTGTGCAAACATTATAGAATGTACATACACAAATTTAGATGGTACCGCTTACTATCCACCTAGATTATATGATATAGCCTATTGCTTCTAGGCTACAAACCTGTACAACGCGTTACTGCACTGAATCCTGTAGACAATTGTAACATAATGGTAATTATTTGTGTATCTAAACATATCTAAACATGGGAAATGTACAGTAAAAATACAGTATTATAATCTTATGGGACACCATCGCAAATGTGGTCAGTTGCTGAGTGAAGCGTCATGAACTGCATGACTGTGTATGTTTATACATTAATGTCAGAATTCTCAAGGATCTGATAGTGGGGATTGTGCATTCACCTTATCTGCAACAGTGGAATTGAGAGTAAATCCTGCTGTGTTGCTTAGTGGTCAAGATAGCCCATTAGTTGCCTATGTAATACTACCCTATTTAAATGTCTGTAAACTGCAGGGGAGGAATTTGCTAGACTAGTATTGCTGGCTGTAATCTGGACTAATACAGTTGCTGAACTTAGTGTTGTTTCCAAAGGAGGAAAAGTTTGGGTATAAATGGACAGAAGAAAGAGATGCAGCTGAGAATAAAGAAATGAATAAATGAGTCATGTAATAAGTGAAATCAATATTATATTTGTGTCTTGAAATAGGCTCAGTGCAAGAGATGATATAGTCTCTTAGCTCAATTATACCAGATGCCAGAAAGGGTAAAGTTATGTATTTCTGAGACTATTCCTGCTTGTGGAAGCGAGCCAGATCAAATGGAGACCAACAAACCTGAGAGGCCTCACCCTGGGAGACATATTCATATAACAGAATGATTGACTGGGCTAATTATTAATGAGTGAGTGGGAATCGAGTAATATGACCGTATCTTTCAAATTTTATGATTCTTTTGCTATAAGGGATCCATGGTCAAAGACCAACAAGTGGTCTGTGGTATAATAAAACAGTTTCTGGCACACAGCTTCTAAAACCCTTGGAATTTTCTGAGTTAGAGCAATGAGTTACTTTCTTCATAATGATTTCCTTTAGATTACATTTGAGTCTATGCTAATGGGTCTCCTAGATCACCTCAGGATGGGGGCTGATTACAAGAAAGACCAAACTTGCTTAGAGGATGAAAATTTCAGCCTCACCCCTTAACCTCCAAGGAAATGTAGGGATGGAGATTGGGTTATAAAAACTCTCGAACAAGAAAATTCTGGGTTGGTGAACACATTGATATAATGGGAAGGAGTCATTCCAGGAAAAGGTATGGAAGCTCTGTACCCCCACATCCTCATCCCTTTCCCTTCGCATTTCTTCCAGTTAACTATTCCTCAGTCGTATCCTTGACAATAAACCTGTAAATGTAACACACACACACACACAGACACACACACACTCACACACACACCCCATAATATATTTGGCATATAATCTTAGATTATGTGTGTGACTATATGTAAAGACATTAAAAAATCATATTTCTAATCTTTTTTCTCTTTTTCACCCACCTCCCTGTTTATAAATTTGTTCAATGCAATAAAAATAGTTTTCACTCATAGTGGATTGAAAATTATAGGAAAAATATATCTGTCTTTATTAAATTAAAGCTTCTAAATAATATGTTTTGCGTTATTGATGCTTTATTTCTAAAGTACTCTGAAAATTTTAAATTTACCAATATACCCTTAAGGTTTTCTTTTGTTGTAATTTTCAGTTTGCATTTCTAATAACTGTTTTATTGGACTTTACTTTCTGCATTGTTACAGATTACATTCAGCATTTTCATGCAGATGCTATGTCACTACATGAAGATAATGCTAAAAGATGAAATTTGCACATGGAGAGCTGTAAGAAACAGTATATTTCTTGTAAAAGAAGAAACTGAAATTGCAGAGCTCTTTGACTGTCCTGTCTCTTACACCTGACAGTTCTGGGTATGCCTTTGCGGTTAGCAACATTTTTCCCCTAAAGGATTGACATTTAATAACACTATTCTCGCCTGTCTGACTTCAGTTATCTCATTAGAAAAAGATGATTCAAGAAAGCTGAATATATTTCCTCCAGTGTTTAAGTTTCCTAATTAAAAATAGGAGTGCAGATTCAGGAGAGAAAAGTACTGTTGAGGGAGCAGTTTTTTACTGTTTAGGATTGCTTTTGGCCATAAATAAAACAACATCTTATCATATGACATAAGAAGTAAAGTCTTTATCTTTCTTTGTAATCAGGAAATTCAGCTCATCTGGCTGCTTGAAGATGCAGTATGGGCCCAGGTTCCTTCTCCATGCTTTCCCAATGTCTTTATTATGTGGCTGTCTTTCTTATGGTCAGAATTTAGTTGCTGTGCCTCCATTATCTCTGTGTGCCAGGCAGAAAGAAGGGAAAAGCAGAAAAGCGCAATGGCCAAAACATTTAACTTTAAAGCCAGTGGTATTTTATTTGTGAATAAAAGCACTCCCCAGGAGCTTCCGCCTATATCTGATTGATCACAATTGCTTCACAAAAGCACTCATAGCTACAAAGGAGCAGGAGAAGGTAAACTATTTGAACGTATATATTGTCTGCCACCTGAATAAAATTAGGGTTCACTTAGCAAGAAAGAAGAGAACAGATATTAGATAAGCAGCTAGCAGTTTCTGCCTAAGGTAAATACAATGCTACTATGCACATACTTATAATTAAAAAAATACTTGTTGAATAAATTGAAGTTGAAGGCTCTCAGAATTAGTTGCACTTAAAATGATTTTAGTTTTTATTTTTTTCTTTTATTTTCTATTCTATTGTACAAGTACAAGCTATATTCTGAGATATAGATGCTAAATAGAGAATAAAAATATTGGCTCTGCTTACAAGAAATATTTTGATAAACCAAAAGTAGTTTGGAATTCCAAACAAAAAAGAGTAGGTAAACTGCTTTCTAAAAAATGTAGTTCCTGTTAACTTATGTTCCAATACAAACATTATTCTCTTCAGGAGAAATTCTGGTAAATTAAAAATTTCTATCACATGGTAGGCTATCTTTAAAACCATGATATTTAGAACTAAATGCCCTACTATATGTATGTCTGGCCAGGAGAGCAGAATTATCCATTCTTCTAAAGACATTACGTATCTATTATTTTAGGCTGAGATCAAGGTAACATTCTTTTGGCAACCAATCATACAGGTAACAATTTCAGTCAGTTATGACCTTTAGGTTGTTTTTTGTTTTTGAATTCACTGCTATTGTATCCTGTCTTTCTTATGCAAAGCCTATATAAGTATTTACCTCACCCAATTGTAGAACTTTATATTTTTACTTGTAAAAGTTAATCCTGTCATATATGTTATATTATTAAAGTCCCAAAATATATTCAAATTTTGATTTTCTAATCCAGAGTATTATCAATTGTCTTTGCCATGTCTCTTCATAGACATCATCTAAGTCACTGATAAAATATTAGAAGAAAACATAAAACGGAGGTAAAGACTGTCTGGCACTCTAGGGAAACCTCAAGTCTATCCATCCATGAATCAAACCCCTTTGGATGATGTGTGTAATTTTATGGACTCGTATAATGGTTATTTCATTCAGTCTTCATTTTCCTACATTGTATAGACTATTACGTACCTTTGTGATTTATTTTCTCATCACAACATATCTTATATCTTTCTCATTTCCATAATCAATCAGGACATTATTTTTTATTAAGAAAGCAAATGCAAACTAGTATATATTTAGGATGAACAAGTCTAGAGATCTAATGTACATCACGAGAACTATAGTTAATAAAATTATACTATATATGGGATTTCTACTAAATAAGTTTTAGGTGCTCTTGCCGCAAAACAGAGGGTAAACGTGAGATTGTAGATATGTTAATTTGCTTCACTATTGTAACCATTTCACTTTCCATATGTGTATCCATAATATCATGTTGTATATTAAAATATACACAATAAGAAGTATTTTTTTAAAAAAGAAAGAAAATATATGTAGTCTGTTGGCTATTTTGTTTTTTTTTTAAACTGATGTTGACTCATAGTAATCACTGTTTCTTTTTCTAAATATTAACATTCCATTTACGTACAATATCTATTATTTATATCGTTACATAATTTATTTTGTAATTTTTTATTTTTATCTTTTAATATTAAGAAATAATGCTGTTTATCAAATCATTCATTCATCTTATCCAGTTTTTACCATATTAAATTGTGAAAAGTTGTGCGTATTTCAAAATTGCTTTAAATCTCTGTTTTCCCAGAGTCATAAACACTGGCTTGTTTCAATTCAATGGGCAGATTTTCATGTTGAATTTGGTGAAGCTCTTCTTCAGGAACTACCTGTGGAAAAGGATTGTGTAGGAGGCTATTGTTTTATCTATTCTTCCAGTCTTTTCCTAATAAATAACTTAATTTTAAGTGGTTTATTATCACTACCTTAAAAAAATTAAACCACTTAATTTTTTAATAATTATTAATATGTTAATACTTAAATCTGCCATTTTATTGTTTGTTTTCTTTTTGTTTCTTCTATTTCTCTTTCCTCTGTTTTTTCTTGCCTTCCTGTGAATTGCGTGAATATCTCTCAGGATTTCTTCTTAATTTATTTATAGTGCTTTTGAGTATCACTTTGTATAGCTTCTCTACTGGCTGCTCTTGGTATTACAATATTCATCATACATGTGATTTAATTTACTAACATCAAAGTGTAGTACTTTGAATAAAGTGTGAAACCTTACTTTCATTTATCTTCCTTTACCCTCCCTTCTTCTACATAGTATTGTCTCGAGTATATAATACTGTTATAAGTTTTTCAATGATCTTAATTGTCACGTTCCTTTCTGCATTTGTATGTGCTGTACTTTCTGCCTGGCTTGTTATTCCTTTCTCTCTTTGCCTAGTTAATGCCTGGTCATCCTTCTTATATTGACTATATATTGACTATATTATAGTCGATATATAGACTATATAGACAGTATATAGACTAATGGACTATATATTGACTATATTATTTCCTCACAGACACTTATCCTGACTTGCTTGCCTCAAGAAAACCCAGGGAACTACAGGATCTCAAAGTTTTCTCTTTCAGCAAATATCATAAATTTTTAACATCTGTAAAGTGAGTACTTGGTTAATGGCTTTCTTACCATATATTGTTTTGTTCCCTCATGTATCACTAGCACTTAGTACTTTTCTTGAAACATAATACTTAACCAGCAAGTAGTTGCTGAATCAAGGAATAAGTCTCTCTGGATTGTAGTCTTCTCATCTGAATTACTGATGTACAATTCATTATTTTTAAATTTGTAATGAAGATTAAAGGAGATTATGTATATGAAGATGCACATCAAGTATGTAGAAAAATGTAGAGAACAGACAGTAGCTATTATTATTGATAGATAAAAGGAAGTTGTGATATGAATGTATTGAGTTAGGAGATCAATACTATATGCTATGAATATGAGGAGATTACAGGCCAATTAAGTTAAAAAGTCAACAAGCGGCTGAGCGCAGTGGCTCATGCCTGTAATCCCAGCACTTTGGGAAGCCAAGGCAGTTGGATCACTTGAGGTTGGAAGTTCGAGACCAGCCTTGGTGAAACCCCATCTCTACTAAAAATACAAAAATTAGCCAGGCATGGTGGTACATGTCTGTAGTCTCAGCTATTCAGGAGGCTGAGACAGAGAATGGCTTGAACCTGGGAGGCCGAGGTTGCAGTGAGCTAAGATCAGGCCAGTGCACTCCAGCCTGGGTGACAGAGGGAGACTCTGTCACAAAAAAAAAAAAAAAAAAAAAGTCAAGAAGCTGGTCTATAATGTTCAACTGGCAAAAAGTATAGAGACCTATATTTTGAGTTTGCAAAGTGAAATTGCTAGAGAGTTCAACTTTGATTTTACTCTTCAAAGTGCATTGGTTACTTTGGCAAAACATAAGACATTTGTAGAATTGTTTAGATACGTTTGATCATTTCTATACTTTTTTTTTATTTTTCTACATTTTATTTGTTAGTTCATGTTTTCTTCAGGTTTGGTTCATTCTTAGCCATTTTTGCTTGCTCTGCGCTACCTGGGATATTGGGATATTTGGAATGAAGCTTAAAATATCCAACACCTCAGGGTTCAGCTCATGCCTTTTTGTTGTGGACTAAAAATTTGAGACATTTAAAATATTTTAAAAATTAAACATTTCTAAACAGGTAGAATAAGGCATACCTGTATGAAAATAAAAATTTAGAGTACAACATCAAAATGTTTAAATAATTCAGATCATAAAATTATATTTCTTCTGATTAAATTTCTTTGATTCACATTGGTAAATATTCAATCACAAAGGTTTACTACAGAAAAATCAAATAATACATAGACAAGACTATTGGAGAACATAAGAGAATGCCACATTTTCACACACAAAGTGTCCGTTAGCCCCTTGGTGTATATTTTCTTGTATAGCTTTCTCTATAAAGACTTTATGGGTGCTTATTATTTGCCAAGCAATGTTTTAGGGACTGAGAATATGGAGTCACCAAAATAGAAAGAACTCTTTGCCCCTATTTGGTTTATATTCTAGAGACAAAAAACAGAAATTACATACGTGTTATTACACATGATGACAAGTGACATAAATAGAAACAACTAGAGTAAGGTAATTGAGATATATATAAGATTGGGTGGTAAGTTTTTTAACTAGGGTTATAATATAGTTTGGATATTTGTTACCACCCATATCTCACTCAGGAAGGTCCATGCCATAAGCCTTGGCAGCTTCCATGTTGTATTAGTTTGTTTTCACACTGCTATAAAGGAATACCCAAGACTGGGTAATTTACAAAGGAAACAGGTTTAATTGACTCACAGGTCCACATGACTGGGGAGGCCTTAGGAAATTTACAATAATGGTGGAAGTTGAAGGGGAAGAAAGGCATCTTCTTCACAAGGTGGCAGGAGGGAGAATGAATGCAGGAGGAACAACCAAACACTTATAAAATAATCAGATCTCGTGAGAACTCACTCACTCTCACGAGAACAGTATGAGGGAACCGCCCCCATGATTCAATTACCTCCACCTGGTCTCTTCTGTGACGTGGGGATTATGGGGATTTTAATTCAAGATGAGATTTGGGCGGGCACACAAAGCCTAACCATATCACATGTGATTTTAAGCCTACAGGTGCACAGAATGCAAGAGTGAAGGAGGCTTGGCAGCCTTTGCCTAGATTTCAGAGGATGTATGAGAAAGCCTGGGTGCCCAGGCAGAAGTTTGCTCACAGAAAACCTCTACTAGGGCAGTGCAGAGGGGAAATGTGGGGTTGGAGCCCCCACACAGAGTTCCAAATGGGGCACTGCCTAGTGGAGCTATGAGAAGGGAGCCATCATCCTCCAAACTCCAGAATGATAGAATCACTGGTGGTTTGCATCTTGCTCCTGGAAAAGCAGGCACTCAACACCCTGTGAGAGCAGCATTAAGGACTGAACCCTTCAAAGCCACAGGATTGTAGCTATCCAAAGCCTTAGGAGACTACCCCTTGCAGCAGTGTGCCCTGGATATGGGACATGGAGCCAAAGGAGATTATTTTGGAGCTTTAATATTAAATGACTGCCCTGCTGGGTTTTAAACTTGTGTGGGCCTGTAACCCCTTTCTTTTTGCTTATTTCCCTTTTTTGGAATGGAGGTATTTACCCAATTCCTATACACCCATTGTATGTTAGAAGTCAATAACTTGTTTTTGATTTTATAGCCTCATAGGTAGAAGGAACTTGCTTTATTTCAGATGAGAGTTTGGACTTTGGAATTTTGAGTTAACATTAGAATGAATTAAGAGTTTGGGGGACTGTTGGGAAGATATATTGTATTTTTGCAATGTGAGAAGGACATGAGATTTTGGGGAGCCAGGAGTGGAATGATATTATTTGTATCTTTGTCCCCACTCAAGTCTCATGTTGAAATATGATCTTCAATGTTTGAGGTGGGGCCAAGTGGGAAGTATTTGGGTCATGAGTGCAGATCCCTCATGGCTTGCTTCTGTTTTTGCAATAGATAGTTCTCACGAGATTCGCTTGTTTAAGTGTGTGGCTCCTCCCCCTCTGCTCTCTGTTTCTTCTGCTTTTGCCATATAAGGTGCCTGCTCCTGCTTTGCCTTCCACCATGAATAAAAGCTCATTGAAGGCTCCACAGAAATCACACAGATGCTGACACCATGCTTCTGGCACAGCCTGCAGAAACATGAGCCAGTTAAACCTCTCATTTTTATAAATTACACAGTCTCAGATATTTATTTATATCAATGAAAGTACAGGCTAATACAGATTGTCAGGGAATACTTCTTTGATCAGGAGATATTAGAGGATTTTTGAAATTTTAAAGAAAGCCATATCTGGATTCCAGGAAGAATGACAAATTAATCAACTTTTCCTTCCACTTGCTTTTGTGCTATTCCAGTTACACATTTGTGAATTCAGGGAATGTTTGAGATATACTGCAGTTGTACTTCAGATTGTGAACTTTCTCTAGGCCAATAATAGAAAGGATGCTTTATTTCATTTTTTTGTTTATGTAACAGGTCATTTTATGATAAAATGATAGGGATTAAGCCATTTTGAACTGATGTTCATTATCTGCCATGTTTTGTTGTCATTTATTTATTCAAAGTTTATTTTCACTTTCTATATACTAGATATTATACCAGGTACTGGAGATTCAGAGAAAACCAATATTATAAGTGCTTGTTCTCAAGAAACTCTCAGTTTATCAAGAAAAACATACATTTACACAAATAAATATAATACAATCTTAAAGTTGCTCTAATAGAAGTTGCATAGAGGAGTGGGTGATCAGCTCTGTTAAGGTGGCAGCGTCAGTAAGAGCAATATAGAAAAGCTGATACTTGGTCGAAGTTTTAAAAGATAAACAAAAATTCTCCATTTAGATAATGATGTAGAGGAATGTATTAGAGTCAGATAGGTTAGTATGTAAAAAGGCATGAAAGTAGAAACATGACATGTTCTGGGAGCTGCAACTAGTTTGACAGGGCAAGCAAAGAAGTAAGAAGAAATTACATTTCTCCCCTATCAGAATGTCAATTCTATGAAGGCAAAAACACATGTCTACTTCCTCACCGATGTATTTCAAACACCTAGAAAAGTTTCCATGCCACAGTAGGAGTTCATTAAGTTGAACAATTAAATGAAGTTAAAGAGGTAGGTTTGCGCCAAATCTTGAAGGGCTATTTATTATTCATAATGTACATAATGCATTTTGACCTTTATTCTCAAAACATTTTTCTGTTTCTTAATGTTTTCAGGGATTTCAGGAAATAAATATTCATGATTTGCATAGTCTACATTTTTAAATTTATCCATATTTATTATTGCTACAGTTCTGTCAAGATTAGTTTTTAAAGAAATAAAACTCAAAATGAAGAAACTCTCAATGAAAGTGACCACCCCAACTTCTTGAGTAACACATAAACCTAGTCAAAGCATAATTGCATATTGCCTGACTCCCCAAAAAATATTTTCCAGCCTTTGGAATAGCTTGTTCAGAACGTCAGCCCAGCTCACATTTTTCTGAATATTCAGTAAAGAATAAGTAACAACAATAAAAGCTAAAATTTTGGCTTTATGACACAATTTGACATTTACACACTTGTAACTCTCATTTAATTTATTTCTGATTATTATCCCTTTCTTTCCCATGGATATTTCTTGATTAGTCCTTTAATTTAAAGAGATTGTATATACAGAAGAGTATGCATGGACATAATTATAATTCCAACTAGATATACAGGTGCACATCATACTTCTTGTCATTAGAACATTTTCTTACTATAATCCATGGCAAACATGAGATATAAGTTATTATTTCTGCATGATGTTAACAACATCCAGAGGTCATTCACTTTTACTCATTACTCATTTTTTATGCATCAGCAGTTCTTCCTTTGACTATTTTCTGACGGTTTCTAATTTATAATGTTCAATTTTATGTACTTAACACAGTAATCAAATCTTTAGATCATGAGTATAGAAAGCAAATTCAACTATTAATATGTTAGATAATTGTTTGATTTACTCATTATAAATGTTTCTGAATCTGAGAAGCTTCATAAGAGATGCTTATAGGGATGCACAATTTTGATTGACTGTTAGGAGAGCCAAGGACAAAGAAGACATTCATAATAAATTTTTATTTTTATTTTTAAATTAATTTTTTTTTTTACTTTTAGGTTTAAGGGTACACGTGAGGGTTTATTACCCAGGCAAACACATGTCATGGGGGTATGCTGTACATATTATTTCATCACCCAGGTATTAAACCCAGTAACCAATAGCTATCTTTTCTGCTCCTCTCCCACCTCCCACCCTCCACACCCAAGTAGACAGCAGTGTCAGTTGTTTCCTTCTTTGTGTTCATAAGTTCTTATCATTTAAAAGCTCCCATTTATAAGTAAGAACATGTGGTATTTGGTTTTCTGTTCCTACATTAGTTTGCTAAGAATAATAGGCTCCAGCTCCATCCATGTTACTCCAAAAGACATGATCTCATTATTTTCATAGCTGCATATTATTCCATGGTGTATTAGTACCACATTTTCTTTATTCAATCTGTCATTGATGGGCATTTAGGTTCATTCCATGTCTTTGCTCTTGAGTATAGTGCTGCAATGAACATTTGCATGCATATGTCTTTATGGTAGAATGCTTTATCCTCCTCTGGGTGTATACCCAGTAATGGGATTGTTGGGTCTTATGGTAGTTCTGCTTTTAGCTCTCTGACAAATTGCTATACCAGTTTCCACAATGGTTGAATTAATTTACACTCCCACCAATAGTGTAAAAGTGTTCCCTTTTCTCTGCAACCTCGCCAGCATGTGTTATTTTTTTTACTTTTTATTAATAGCCATGCTGACTCGTATGAGATGGTATCTCGTTGTTTTGATTTGCATTTCTCTAATGAGCGGTGATATTGAGGTTTTTTTTCATATGCTTGTTGGCTGCATATATGTCTGTTTTGAGAAGTGTCTGTTCATGTCCTTTGTCTACTTTTTAATCAGGTTGTTTGTTTTTCTCTTGTAAATTTGTTTAAGTTCTTTATAGATGCTGGATATTAGACTTTTGTCAGATGCATAGTTTGCATATACTTTCTCCCATTCTGTAGGTTTTTTACTCTGTTGATAGTTTCTTTGGCTGTGCAGAAGCTCTAATTTAATTAGAACCCTCTTGTTAATTTTTTCTTCTTTTTGCAATCACTTTTGGTGTCTTTATCGTGAAATCTTTTCTCATTCTTATGTCCAGAATGGTATTGCCTAGATTGTCTTCCAGGGTTTTTATAGGGTTGAGTTTTACATTCAAGATTTTAATTTATCTTGAGTTGATTTTTGTGTATGGTATAAGGAAGGGGTCAAGCTTCAATGTTCTGCATATGGCTAGCCAATTATCCCAGCACCAATTATTGAATAGGGAGTCTTTTCCTCATTGCTTTTTTTGGTGTGTGCCAGCTTTGTCTAAGATGAGATGACCGTAAATGTGTGGTCTTATTTCTGGGCTCTCTATTCTGTTTAATTGATCTGTGTGCCTGTTTTTGTACCAGTACTATGCTGTTTTGGTTACTGTAGCCTTGTAGTATAGTTTGAAGTTGGGTAATGTGATGCCTCCAGCTTTATTCTTGCTTGGGGTTGCCTTGGCCATTTGGGCTCTTTTTTGGTTCCATCTGAAATTTAAAGTAGTTTTTTCTTTTTTTCTTTTTTTTAGTTCTGAGAAGAATATCATCGGTAATTTGATAGCAATAGCATTAAACCTCTAAATTGCTTTGGACAGTATACCCATTTTGATGATACTGATTCTTTCTAACAATGAGCATGGGATATTTTTCCATTTGTTTATGTCTAACCTGATTTCTTTGAGCAACATTTTATCATTATCATTGTAGAGATCTTTCAACTCCTTGGTTAGCTGTATCCCTAGGTATTTTATTCTTTTGTGGCAACTGTGAATGGGATTGCCTTTCTGATTTGGCTCTTGGTTTGGCTATTTTGCGTGTATAGAAATGCTAGTGATTTTTGTTCATTGATTTTGTATCCTGAGACTTCGCTGAAGATGTTTATCAGCTGGAGGAAATTTTGGGCCAAGATTATGGGCTTTTTTAGATATAAAATCATGTAACTTGCAAACAGATAGTTTGACTTCCTCTCTTCCTATTTGGATGCCCTTTATTTCTTTCTCTTGCTTGATTGCTCTGGCTAGGACTTCCAATACTATGATGAATAGAAGTGGTAAGTGAGGACATGCTTGGTTTGTGCCTGTTTTCAAGGAGAATGCTTCCAGCTTTTGCCCATTCAGTATAACGTTGGCTGTGGGTTTGTCATAGATAAAACTTATTATTTTGAGGTATGTTCCTTTAATACCTAGTTTATTGAGAGTTTTTAAAGAAAAACATCTTCAAACAAGAATTTTATATCTAGCCAAACTAAGCTTCCTGAGTGAAGGAGAAATAAGTTCCTTTTCAGATAAGCAAATGTTGAGAAAATTTATTACCACCAGATGTGCCTTACAAGACATCTTCAAAGGAGCACTAACTCTAGAAAGGAGAGATCACTACCAGCTAATACAAAAACATACTTAAACACACAGACCAGTTTCACTGTAAAGCAACCACACAAGCAAACATAATAGCCAGCTAACAGCACAATGACAGGATCAAATCCTCACATATCAATACTTATCTAGAATGTAAACAGGCTAAATGCACCACTTAAACGGCACAGAGTGCCAAGCTGGATTAAAAAAAAATGGTATGCTATCTTCAAGAAACTGATCTCACACATAATGACACTCATAGGCTCAAAATAAAGGGATGGAGGAAAATCTACCAAGTAAATGGAAAGCAGGAAAAAGAAGAGGTTGCAATCCTAATTTCAGACAAAACAGATTTCAAACCAACAAAGATCAAAAAAGACAAAGAAGGATATTATATAATGATAAAGGGTTCAATTCAACAAGAAGTCCTAAATATCCTAAATATATATGCATCCAACACAGGAGAACCCAGATTCATAAAGCAAGTTCTTAGAAACCTACACAGGACTCCTAAATAATAACAGTGGGAGACTTCAACACTCCTCTGACAGTATTAGGCAGATCACTGAGGCAGAAAATTAACAAAGATATTCAGGACCTAAACTCAACATTGGACCAAATGGCTCTGATAACCTTTACAGGACTCTTCACCCCAAAACAACAGAATATACATTATTCTCTTTGTCACATGGCACATACTCTAACATTAGCCACATAATTAGACATTAAAACAATTCTCAAAAAATGTAAGAAAAACTAAATCATACCAAACACACTCTTGGACCACAACACAATCAAAATAGAAGTCAAGACTATGAAAATCACCCAAAACCAAGCAATTACATGGAAATTAAACACAAGCTTCTGAATGACTTTTGGGTAAATAATGAAATTATGGGAGAAATCAAGAAGTTCTTTGAAAATAATGAGAACAAACATAAACAAACCAGAAATTCTGGGACTCAGCTAAGGTAGTATTAAAAGGGAAATTTATTGTACTAAATGCACACATCAAAAATTAGAAAGATCTCAAATTAACAACCTAGCTTCACAACTGAAAGAATTAGAGAAGCAGGAACAAATCAACTCCAAAACTAGCAAAAGATGAGAAATAACAAAAATCAAGGCTGAACTGAAGGAAACCCACACATGAAAAACCATTCAAAATATCAATAAATCCAGGAGCTGGTTTTTTGAAAAAAATTAATAAAATAGGCCACTATCTAGATTAATATATTTTTAAATGGCAGTAAGAAATGTTGAATTCTAATAGGACAAAATCAGTCATAGTCATAAGATCATATTAATAGAATTCTACAACTGTAGACAGTGTTCATTCTGTTAATGGGTTATTCTACAGGATGAACATCTAAATGAGTAGATTTGACAAGGCTTAGACTTACTTATACTTACTAATTGTTTTGGTAAATTTTTAGCTTCAGCATATAAAAACATCTTTGTATTTCTTCCTCTACATTGGATTTTAACTAAATGATAGTTTTTTCTTAAACTTGAAATCAAGTTTTTTGAACCATCATATACAGACATATATATGATAATCTGGTCCCCCTACATTTGGAGGACCAGAAAATTACAAATTACAATGTGATAAATAATGAAAAGTAAAAAGGCCTCTACTTTGAATGAATTATGTTCAAGTACATTAAAATCAGGAAAATAATAAGAGCACATAAGCATTAATGAATAAAAGATTGTTTTAAAATAATGAAAATAACAAGTATTACCTGAAATATCCATTCTGTATCCATGCTGTCAATCTTAAGTTTTAAAAATACACTGTTTACTCACTAAATGATTCTCCATCATTTCTTTAAAGGGGTACTAAAAAGGAGTCAAACAAATTTGGCATTTGGGAGGGGTATAAATTTAAATTCTGAGCTCAGTACAAAAGTTCTGAAATTCAGAGCAAGGATAAACAGTTGCAAACAATTCTGAGAAGCTAACTCGTTACATTTGTTCAAAGTAAGTTTTCAATTACAGTGTAAATTACAGCACAAATATTGTGGCATAGACTAATAAACTAGATGTCTATTTAGAGTTTTCTACTGAAGCAATAATGCTACCTACCATATAAAAAATCAGGCATGTGAAACATGCTGCTTATTCCTTTAAAAATGTTATTTTATTCATTTAGAGAGAACATTGTGAAAAATTTTAAACTTAAAACTGCAAATTTAGGCCGGGCGCAGTGGCTCATGCCTGTAATCCCAGCACTTTGGGAGGCTGAGGCCGGTGGATCATGAGGTTAGGAGATCTCGACCATCCTGGCTAACATGGTGAAACCCCGTCTCTACTAAAAATACAAAAAATTAGCCGGGCGTGGTGGCGCACACCTGTAGTCCCAGCTACTCGGGAGGCTGAGGCAGGAGAATCCCTTGAACCCAGGAGGTGGAAGTTGCAGTGAGCCAAGATCATGCCACTGCACTCCAGCCTGGGTGACAGAGCGAGACTCCATCTCAAAAAACAAACAAACAAACAAAAAACTGCAAAATTAATGGAGTTACAATTCTAAAACTTCAAATGACTGTTGATACACGGCTGTATTAACTAATTTCTTCTTTATTAGAGTATCTCGTCTGAAGTTCCTTACCCAAAATATATTTAATTAACTTGTCATTTTATCTTAACATATTTATTTCATCAAATTCTTACAATTATTACAGGCCACAATTCATTGACAATTTTGAGAATGTGCATTTTGAACAATAAATACATTTTGTAATTTAGTTGCATGTCATTTACCACACACACATCACTCTGTTGTATAAATGCTATTTGATGATAATGGCAATAAATTATTTGTGCAGACTTAACATTTCATCCTGAGGCTGGATAGGTAGTCAAGGAAGTCACTATGTCCTCAGGGCACAACCACCATATTGGGCACAACCACCATATTGACCACATCATCAACACAATAAACCTCAGCATTCACATTGTAGTCCAGCTCATTCAAGCAAAGCTAGCTTCAGTAGGGAATTTCCCCTTTAGAGAGCATTTTGATTTTTACCTGTCCTGAGACTGATGCTTTTCTCATTATAATAGTATAAAACACACTCTTGGGTGAAGATTTAAGATGAAGATGTAAATCTGTCTCATTAGCATCTGGGACTTCCCGGAACATGCTTACTTACTGGCCACACCTCTTCCTGCCCCCATATAAATAACCATGAAACTGTCCCAATAAAGGGGGTCTCCTTAGTGCCGGTCTTTGCTGTCTCATCTTAGGAGTAGACCACCCTGAATCCTCTTTCAGGCTGTACTGCCTATTCTGTACCTAGCTTTCAGGCTACTCTTTCTCTTTTGCAATAAATTGCTCTATGCTGCATCTCCTTTGCTATGTGTCTCTTGTTTAAACTATTTTGAAATAAAAAGACAAGAACTGAGGTTTCAGAACAGCCATCAACAATCCCACAACAGCTATATTGAAAATTAAATACAATGCATAATACACATTTTATAAAATGTTACTTTAAATCAGACTTCCAGGTGGGATTTATTTAAATGTTCTCAAGTTACTTTTTTCAGTAACTTCACTTCTCCACGGCCAGAACAATTGTCATTCATTTTAATATTATTTAGTGTAAATGACATGCAATTCTCCTAATTCACAGGTAATTCATGAGGAAAAATTTTTTCAACTAGATAAAAAGCATAATAATATAAATTAGTTTTTTAATCAGATTTTTTTTGGTTTTTAATATTCGTGGGCACTTAATGGGTATATATATTTATGAAGTCAGCTTGCTTTTTAATTTTATTTTATTTTTCTATAAATTACCAGGGTACAGGTGGTATTTGGTTACATGAGTAAGTTCTTTAGTGGTGATTCGTGAGATTTTGGTGCACCCATTACCTGAGCAGTAAACACTGCACCATATTTGTAGTCTTTTATCCCTCGCCCCCCTCCCACTCTTCCACCCGAGTCCCCATTGTCCATCGTATCATTCTTATGCCTTTGCATCCTCATAGATTAGCTTTTAATAATCAGTAATATTTTTTGCTAAAGCTTGTAACTATGGGTTAATAATTGAGTTTAACATATACTGGAGGAGTCGGGAAAATTCTCAACAAATATCATATGAACATTTGTGAAGAAGACAGGATTTTTTTCTAAGACAGTATTACACTTTTGTAAGTAGAAATGAATATCTGCAACTTATGTGGAAAACCAGTGTTCGGGTTGTAAGAAATGAAATCGCACCATAAGCATAAATTAGAAAAAAAAAATTTATTTTATGGGATTTGTAGTCTGCTTTAAGAGGCATGTCAACCTTTTTTTTTTTTTTTTTTTGAGACAGAGTCTCGCTCTGTCGCCCAGGCTGGAGTGCAGTGGCGCATCTCGGCTCACTGCAAGCTCCACCTCCCAGGTTAAGGCCATTCTCCTACGTCAGCCTCCCGAGTAGCTGGGACCACAGGCGCCAGCCACCACCACACCCAGCTAATTTTTTGTATTTTTTTAGTAGAGACGGGGTTTCACCGTGTTAGCCAGGATGGTCTCAATCTCCTGACCTTGTGATCTGCTCGCCTTGGCCTCCCAAAGTGCTGGGATTACAGGCGTGAGCCACGGCGCCCGGCTGTCAACTTTTTTTTTAAAACAGTAATCCTAAATTTATATTTTTAAGCATTTTAAGTTGATATCATAATAGACACCAGGCCTTTATAAATGTAAGCTATGACGGTGGACTATCCCTTTAAGAATAGAAGTAGCCTTTGGGATGTTCATGTGACATTATTCAGCAATGTAATTTTAATGCAAATACTTTTTAAAATTTTTAAGCATTATTCTAGTCAGAAAGAAAACATTTAATATATATATATGAATCAGAATAAAATAAATAATTTTTGTGCGCCATTTTCTTTTTTCTTTTTTTTTTCTTTTTCTTTTGAGACGAAGTCTCACTCTTGTCCCCCAGGCCGGAGTGCAATGGTGTGATCTCGGCTCACTGCAACCTCCGCCTCCCAGGTTTAAGCAATTCTCCTGCCTCAGCCTCTCAAGTAGCTGGGATTACAGGCGACTGCCATCACACCGGGCTAATTTTTGTATTTTTCGTAAAGACGGGGTTTCACCATGTTGGCCAGGCTGGTCTCAAACTTCTGACCTCAGGTCATCCCCCGCCTTGGCCTCCCAAAGTGCTGGGATTACAGGCGTGAGCCACCGCGCTCGGCCTTGTGCCGCAGTTTCTAATTTTAATGGTTTTCCCACATGAATAAAACTATACCGCTTTAAAATGTTTCTCTTGATTCAGAAATTATATCTGTATACTTAGATTCATTCTTGCCATTAGAAACATAATATTAAGCAGATTTTTGAGACAGAGTGTTTGGTGTTATTATAAAGTTTGGACACCAGAGCCTCAAGAATTATGCAACAAAAGCAAGAAAACCTTTTTCTCTTTATTTTGTAAAATTCAGTCTTACTATTTACTTAATACACGTATGAACTCTAAACTTTATCTGAAAAGAAAAGGTATTACTGCAAATATATCCAATGTTCTCTATGATGAGGCCCAGACTCGTTGACAAAACTCACTTTTAACTTCCTTTTGTTTTGAAAATGGTGGGTATTTTTATAAATCAGAAGAAATGTGGCAAAGGCCAGTGTTGTTTTACATTCTTTATTGTATGGAAGAATTTAAATTATTCTACTGTGTAAATTTTCTAAGATGGAAATAGTTATGTTAAAGTGAGAGAGGAAGAGGGAGCGAGGGAAAGAGAGTGAGAGAAAGAGAAAGATTGTACATATTACTAGTCATATAAATCTACAATAGATTAAATATAAACTCATGCATCAGCATGGACATCAGCTTTCCCGAGAACCTAGAGTGTGATTTATTTATGCATATCTTTGGTTACTGAAAATCTCCTTTTTTAAAAAAAAATAGGGACTGCTGTCTTTCTTTAATTTCCCCTTTTTTATTGTTTTGCCTCCCTATTGCCCGAAATGAGATCATTTTTACTGAGTTATCTTACACTTCCCATAAATTAGGTAATGAAAACAAAGAAGCAAAATCGCATATAAAACATGGCATTAATATTAAAAAATAGTAAAATTTTCTCAGTTGAATACTAATAAACTTCTACATTTCCAATTTCAATTTGAATTTATTAGATGCCTGTTTTGTGATAGAGGTTGCTTGTTGTTTTTACATTGTTATTTAATTTACTAAAAGTATGTTAGAGAAAAAACATTAAAAACTTAATTAAACGTTCTCATTTAAGCAAAAATATTTTCAGCTAATAACATCTTAAGTATTTTATTTTTGGGCTTATATATAATTAGATTTAAAAAAATTTTTTTTTTATTATGAACATTTTTATGTTTCTTCAAGACTGACCTGCCAATTTAAGACCTGCCAATGTCCTCATATCTTGCTCCATCAGGACCATTCTTTCTTGGTTAATGGAAAAATTTGTTTAAAGTGGATGATCATATAAAAATATAAATATGCATATGTATATGCAAGAACTGTAATTAAATATTTTATTTTACCTTAAAATATATCAATACATATTTGTGCATCAACCTATTAGTGTAGTTTCTAAGTAGCAAATTATTTTAGGTATGTTGAGGTAACAATTTCTGGGGTGGCCAAGCAAGGATGAAGACATCAGAAAATCCCAGGCCAAGGCCAGGCGTGCTGACTCATGCCTGTAATCCCAGCACTTTGGGAGGCTGAGGTGGGTGGATCACCTGAGGTCAGGAGTTCGAGACCAACCTGGCCAACATGATGAAACCCCATCTATACTAAAAATATAAAAATTAGGTGGGTGTGGTAGAGCGTGCCTGTAATCTCAGCTACTCGAGAGGCTGAGGCAGGAGAATCACTTGAACCCGGGAGGCGGAGATTGCAGTGAGCATGAGATCGCCCCACTGCACTCCATCCTGGGCAACAGAGCAGCAGGATTTCATCTAACAAAAAAAAAAAAAAAAAAAAAAAAAAAATCCCAGGGCAGTCAACACTGGCCATGAGCAATCTTTTGCTTTTTTTCCAGTGTGCTGGATAGATTTTATTATTTCTAAGTATACAACACTATGAAAAAACAAGCAGAACTTCATTAAATTTCTACTTCATTTGTATTGCATAAAATATATTCCCAAAGCTCTATGATTTCCTATTATAATTTTTTTTTTTTTTTTTGAGACAGAATCCCACTCTGTCTCCCGGGCTGGAGTGCAGCGGCATGATCTCGGCTCACTGCAAGCTCCACCTCCCAGGTTCAAGCGATTCTCCTGCCTCAGCCTCCCGAGTACCTGGGACTACAGGCATGTGCAACCATGCCCGGCTAAGTTTTTGTATTTTTAGTAGAGACGGGGTTTCATCGTGTTAGGAAGGATGGTCTTGATCTCCTGACCTTGTGATCCGCCCAACCTCGGCCTCCCAAAGTGCTGGGATTACAGGCGTGAGCCACCGTGCCCAGCCTCCTATTTTAATTTTTTAATGCCAAAAAGTTACCAAATAATCTTACTGTAATCTTTCCAGATTTTTGTGATTATTTTATTCAGTATTTTTCAAATTTTTCACAAACACCTTATTTGTTTTTTTGTTTTTTTGTTTTTTTTTTTTTGAGATGGAGTCTCACTCTGTCACCTAGGCTGGAGTGCAGTGGGCTGATCTCGGCTCACTGCAACCTCCACCTCCCAGGTTCAAGCGATTATCCTGACTCAGCCTCCTGAGCAGCTGGGATTACAGGCGCGTGCCACCATGCCCAGCTAATTTTTGTATTTTTAGTAGAGACGGGGTTTCACCATGTTGGCCAGGCTGGTCTCAAACTCCTGACCTCGTGATCCACCCGCCTCAGCCTCCCGAAGTGCTGGGATTACAGGCGTGAGCCACCGCGCCTGGCTTGATTATAATTTTTAAGGCCATTTTCAATATGAAGGCTTCTCAAAACAGTCAGCTTAATGTTAATGGAAACAAAGCACCATCTTTCTTTTCACATTTGAATTTCATAGTTTTACATCATAACTGTAATATATACTTGCAGTAATAAGTAAAACTGGATCGATATGGTTAGCATCAATACTACCATGTATAGCCATGTCGATGCAGAAAAATGCTTGCAAACAAGTGTGTAGCCAACAAGAAGTGAGCCATATAGATTCTTTTACAGAGGCCATTAAGAGTGTTGGTTAATCTGGTGAGTAAGATTAAAGTGAAGTAGGAGGTTTTATTGTAATATATGATCTTGACTTCCTTTCATCATAGTCATTGTGAATTACAAATCTAATTGCATATATGATGCTTTTTGAGACTTACCAACATTAAGCAAATACAATTGCCAAAATCACATATTCATACTTATTTCAAAACACTATAATATTTATGAATACTAAGGCATGTTATCAAAGAAAACCAAGAAGATTCATAACATTTTTAAATAATAGATATTTAAAAAAAATGTAGTTCCCAAATTTCTCTATGTACTAATTTATATAGATGTCATTTGACACAATATCGCATCAAATCTTTATCAGTTTAGTAGAGCTGCCAACACAAAGTACCTCAGAAAGGGTAGCTTAAACAATAGCAATTTATTTTCTCACAGTTCTGGAGAACGGAAGTGCAGGGTCAGGATGTTGGCAGGATTGGTTTCCTGTAAGGCCTCTCTCCATGGTTTGCCTGCCCCTGATGCCTCTCCATGTGTCCTAATCTCCTCTTCTTATAAGTACATCAGTAATGTTAGATTAGGGTCCACCCTAATGACCTCATTTTGACTTAATTACCTTTATCTTTAAAGGTCCTATCTCTAAAGACAGTCATATTCTGAGATTCTAGGGGTTCGGGCTTCAACATATGAGATTTTGGTGAGATGCAGTTCAGCCCATCACAATATTTAATACAGAAATAATACGTTACAATAAATATATTCGAGTCTTTGTTTAAAATAAAGTTGTATCATAATGTTTTTAAATTTTTGTGAGACTTGAACACATCTTAACATGGAAAGGATCTCTTTGAACTTTAAAAATGGCTCTATTAGAAGGGAATTTACTTTCATCACATAAATGCATGATTTCACTTACTGATCTTATATCTGAAAGCTTTTTCAGTCACATTTCATTACATTGTTCTAAGTCCCTGGCAGAAAGATAAAACATAGGTAAAAGTTTTCTCTAAGAGGTGACAGCTGAATTCTGACTCTATCTACTGATGTTTGCCTCACTGTTTTTTACTTTGAGGACAAAGTAGAAAAGGACAATGGCAGCAGCATTGGACTTGTGTTTACTGGGGACAAAAATAAAAATATTTTGACTGGAGCAATGTCAAATGAAGCTGTGCTCCTGCATTTGACACAGAGATTTACTTAACAAGAACCTACAGCACAAATAATTTCTTTCTTTAACCATGCCTAAAATGGAAAGAAAAATAAGTATAATATTAGACACATTAATTTATATTTCAAGGTTTCTTTCTCTTCTGCTTTTCTCTGCCATCCTCCCCAGGCATGGGAAGGGGGTAACAATTGTTATTTTGTAGCAACAGAAACATAAGGAAAATAAAGTATTGTTTTTCACATAATTGTAGAGATAATACCTTCTACCTTCATATGCTTTTCACGTTGTATACTGACCTCCCATAGGAGGATGAATCAATACTGCTTTACAAAAGCTTATAAGATTATGTGAAATACTAAGTCTATATTCTATTTTCATTATGTTAGTAATTTAGTGTAATGCATTATTGTATCACATCAGATAATCCTGAAAAGTTAGGTATCCAGATCTATTGTGCAGACACTTTAACATAACTTTATCTAAATGTACAATCTAATTTCAACAGCAAACAATGGAGTGATACCAAGAGCCAAGGTTTATATAGGGCTTCTTACAGCTCCAAGCACTACTCTGATTTACATATATTAACTCATTTCATCATGACAATGCTATGAATAGACACCACTTTAATATATATTTTATAGGTGAGAAAATCAGCCTCCAAGGTCCCACAGCTTTATAGGTCACACTCACACTACTCAAGCTTCAGTTGATTTGACTTGAAGGTTGGCACTCTTAACCATTATACTATAATGCTTGATATTAAAGAATTAGTCTCTAAAATCAGGTGTATTCAGGTTCAGAATCTAATTCTGCCACTTCCTCAGGTAGATTTTATAACTTTTATTGTGCTCCACTTTTCTTGTCTATAAACTGGAAAAATAATGGCATATCTAGGAAACTTATTTTGAAAGAGAGAGAAGCAAAGCATAAAGCACCACGTTGAAAACAATGTGGGACAAGGGGCTTGGATTGATGACTTTGACTGTTATATTCTACCTCTGTATCTAAATGACTTTTGTCAAAAACCCAAGAAACATGGAAGAGTGTGTTGCAGTTCTCTAGACTAAAGCTGAATCTTTGAAATATCACCGGAATTTTCTAGTTCCGTTTTTCGACTACAGATCCCTCATTCACCCTCAGGCTAATGACATCTTTCAGAAGGTCCTTTTGGCTACAGTTGAGTCAGTTCTGAGTCAGCACTTCTATACCATTTGGGACTTATAACCTCCAGAAATAAGATTAACATTAAGGATAAGTTCAAACAGTATACATTTCTAAGTACAATAAGATAACAACTTTCCACCATTTTTTTTTTTTTTTTTTTTTTTGAGATAGAGTCTTCCTCTGTCGCCCAGGCTGGAGTGCAGTGGTACGATCTTGGCTCACTGCAACCTCTGCCTCCCGGGTTCAAGCAATTCTCCTGCACGATATTGGCTCACTGCAACCTCTGCCTCCCGGGTTCAGCAATTCTCCTGCCTCGACCTCCCGAACAGCTGGGACTACAGACGCACGCCGCCATGCCTGGCTAAGTTTTTGTATTTTAGTAGAGACAGGGTTTCACCATGTTGCCCAGGTTGGTCTTGAACTCCTGAGCTCAGGCAATCCACCTGCCGCAGCCTCCCAAAGTGCTGGGATTACAGGCGTGAGCCACCACATCCAGCCCAGCTTTTCACCTTTAAATGTAGCAATTCTTCTATACTTTGTAAAATGTGTGCTTTTAGTCATCATTGAATATACTGAATGCTGATGTGCATATGACATTTTCAACATTACTTTCACAAGATTCAAACCAAATAAAGTTTAAAATGCTATGTAGTTGCCAACATATTTTGGCTTTCATTTATCTACCAAGAAAATTGCATGTAAGAAGGCACAATAAAAACTGTTACACAATGTTATACCTGTTTATATTTGTCCTGATTTTTATTGTATTTAATCTTTAGTTTTTGTTAATAAAAGAAAAACAAGCATACGTGTTTAAAAATTACTTTTTATAATATTAGTTAAGCCAGGAATGATATAAAATATATGCAATGAAGTAATTGAAGGTTTCACTACTATTGTGGTTTCCTTTCTTTGTTTTCCGGGGTAACAGTATGTGGCTTGTGCAAAGTGAACCGTGAGATGTTTCTAGGGTGGTTGACCATCGTGGTAACTGGTCATTAATTTGTCTTTCACTTCTTCAAATTGTGTTTTAAAAGAATATACAAAGAAAAAAAAGAAAAAAATGAGAGGACAGAAGGAAAGAAAGGAAGGAGGGAAAGAAAGAGTGAAGGGAGGAAGGAAGGAAGGAAGGAAGGAAGGAAGGAAGGAAGGAAGGGGAAGACAATAAAAAGAACAGACAAATAAGGAAAAGAAATAAAGGAAAAAAAACTAACACAAAATATTTATTTTAACCAGTACAAGTATTCTTAGAATAAAGTTATCTTCTAATGTATCAACAGGCTTTGTATTAATAATATTTTCTTGAGGTTTATGTCTTTCTTTCTTCTTTGTGCTAATAGTTTTGTTTGTGGTCTAGTACTATTAGATAATAGCACTCCATTTTAATAACATGGAACTAGCTTTATTCAAAAATATTAGAGGATACATAATCTTCTAACATGAATGTCCTTTAATTTATAGACTTGCCTAGTAAGTGCCGAAAAGCTTCTTTATAGAACTAAAACTTTACATTCATGATAATCTCAATTTTGTTATTCTTGGCATTTGGGCTTCTGATTTGAAATCTATTCCCAAGCCCTGCTTAAGAAAGGGATCCAATTTTGAATTACTTAATGTAGTTTCTGTTTGAATGTTTTTTTTCCTAGCACTCAAACAATTTATTAACATTTTATCATATGTCATATGTTAACCATCTTGTTTGGTTATATATTCATGTGCGTGTATATACACAAGGGATTTAACATGTCCAACCTATATTTCAGAGGCAGAGTATCTTTATTGCACTTAGCATGAGGAATCTATATACATGAGATGGGGCCCATGTAAATGAAATCCCCCAGCACCTCTCTAAAGACAAAAGTATTCCTTGTGTTCAAATAAAACTATAAAGACAATCTCCAAACAAGCTTTTGGTGGGCTCAGTATCTGGAAATTGAATAGAACAATATCTCATGATGCTTTATAGAATTTTCAAAAAGTTTGTACCATACAAACCCAATTTCTCAAGCTTCACATTTGGATTTATTATCTCGTGTAATTTCTCTAAAAATAAAGCAAACACTATTGATTGATTAATAATAATAATAAATTAATCTCAGAGGAGTTTTCCTTAAAAGAAGAGAGGCAAAGAAATGCTTATTTAGAGCTCCCACTCCCCTTCACCTCAGTTGATCTGATATTTTAAGGCCTTTGCCGGGTGCGGGGGCTCATGCCTGTAATCCCAGCACTTCAGGAGGCTGAGGTGGGCAGATCACACGGTCAAGAGATCGAGATTATCCTGGCCAACATGGTGAAACCCTGTCTCTACTAAAAATATAAAAATTAGCTGGGCATGGTGTCATGCATTTGTAGTCCCAGCTACATGGGAGGCTGGAGCAGGAGAATCGCTTGAACCAGGGAGGCGGAGGTTGCAGTGAGCCTAGATTGTGCCACTGCACTCCAGCCTGGTGACAGAGCAAGACTCTGTCTAAAAAAAAAAAAAAAAAAGGCATTGATTGTGAAGATTATATGTGACATTTTCCCCTTCTTATTTTGACCTCTATGAAATTAAAAATGTTTTATCTGTTCAATTATGTTTCTTAGGTATTATATTCTTCTGTTAAGATGATTATCTCAACAAAAAACAACCTAATGTTCTAAGATAATAAAATAACAAAAACAATTATAAATATTGATATTTATTCAATATCAAAATCTGTATTTTGAAAAATTTCCTGAAGTACTAATTACTTTTTCAGCCTTCATTTACTTGTTTCTTGTGTTTAAATTGAAAGCAATATACATTTTATGTGATTTAAAAACAATATTCTGAAAAAAAGTTTCATTTGATAAAACCTTTCTTTTACCATTGCTCAATTTTTGAGTATTTAAAAAATATACATAAATACATGTTCTCACTTTAATATATGGTTCAATTGTGATTTCTTTTATTCAGTAGTAATTTACCAAAGACAGTCCAATTTTATTATGGATTCCAGACAAAATACAAGCATTATATGAGTTGAAATTCTGTGGAAACTTACAACAGAAAAACAAAATAATTTTCACTGGGACTGTTTAGATCTTCTTATAATGCAGTCCAAAGTTAATCATTATTAATAAACATCTAAAGTTGACAAAAGAGTTAAAGCAGCTTGAGCCTATGACCAACCCTTCCTGCATTTAATATTTACACCTTTAATGTTAATGTCAGCATCCCAAAATGAATAGGTTTATTTCCTTTAGGATCAGACCAATGTTTTTCATTTTTTAATGATACATTATTTTATGAATGCTTTATGACAAGGATATTGTAGCCCCATCCTTTGAAATGGATAAACTATATTAGCATGCACCACAAATAAGTGAGGCTGAAGGGGAAAAATGAAATAACACTAAAATAGCAGATTATGTAGATTTCTGTCTCAGATACAAACCTGAGACCACACACGTTATACACAAACCTGTTGGGAGGAGTTCCCAGAGCAAATTATTTAATTTAGTTCTATATGTCCAGAATCAAAGGAATCATGTTCAAAGTAAAAGATAATGATGCATAATTCTTTATATTTGTTTAGCCTGGCTATCAATATACTTAACATGTTTTATTTTTAATCACTGTGCATACTTTTAGATACATAAGCACATTAGTTTTTTGGCATATATTTTGTCTTAAATTTCTCACAGGCAACCAAAGTTGTTTACAAATAAATCAAAGTTCACATATCAAACTTGAAATTTTCATTGTGCAATTTAATAAGAACTTTGATTTAAAATAAAATGATAACGTAATCAGAAAGGGTGAATATAAGAAATAATCAATTCAGTAATAAATAATAGTGAAGGACAATAGCTGTTGGAGTTAAATACCTTGATATCTGATATGTTTTGGTTCTGTGTTCCCACCCAAATCTCATCTTTAATTACAGCTCCCATAATTCCCACATTTTGTGGGAGGCACCCCGTGGGAGATAATTGAATCATGGGGGCGGTTTCCACCATACTGTTCTCATGGTAGTGAGATCTCACGAGAACTGATAGTTTTAAAGGGGTTTCCGCTTTTGCTTCTCTCTCATTCTCTCTTGCCACCGCCATGTAAGAAGTGCCTTTTGCCTTCTGCCTCCCTAGGCACATGGAACTGTGAGTCCATTAAACCTATTTTTCTTCCCAGTTTCATGTATGTCTTTATCTGCAGCATGAAAATGGACTAATACAGTAAATTAGTACCAGTAGAGTGGGGTGCTGCTGTAAAGCAGCTTCCACTGCTGGCACCAGGGAACACGGTGGCATGGTGGCACCTGGGAGCTTGGAGATGCCAGGAACTGCAGAGCCCCAAAGAGGGTGTCACAGCCTTGTCTCAGGGAGCTCCTAGGTCTGGACTCCCCAAAGGGCTGCAGCTCTTCTCTCCTTGTCTCTTTCTCATCATTGAACAAATATTAAATCAAAAGTTAGTTAATTAAGTGATATTCCTTGAGATCATGTAAGAATTGATTGGAATTGTGCCAATTTATCAATTGATTAATGACAATTCAACTTTCTGAGGATAGTTTCATTAAGAAACTCCTATAAAATTATCCTGATTTCCAAATTACACCAATGAGAGAAAAAGGAATCATGCACTCTTTCCAATTCAATGTAGCTCATCACTCTAAGTATGTCTCCCTGATCAAATTCTAATTGCAACTATCTTTATCTAAAATGTCTTCTCCCTATTTTGGTACTAGATATGCATGAAGAAATAGTAAGCTTTAACTTTCTGAGGACAGCTGGGTTTTATAAACTTTATTGAAAGTTATTTATCACCGGGCATGGTGGCTCACGCCTGTAATCCCAGCACTTTGGGAGGCTGAGGCAGGTGGATCACGAAGTCAGGAGATCGAGACCATCCTGGCTAACATGGTGAAACCCCGTCTCTACTAAAAATACAAAAAAATTAGCCGGGCACGGTGGCGGGCGCCTGTAGTCCCAGCTACTCAGGAGGCTGAGGCCGAGTGTGTCGTGAACCCCGGAGGCGGAGCTTGCAGTGAGCCGAGATTGCGCCACAGCACTCCAGCCTGGGCGACAGAGCAAGACTCCGTCTCAAAAAAAAAAAAAAAAAAAAGAAAGCTATTTATCTAAAAATAACATCTTCAGAAAATATGACTGATCTTTTGAACACTTTTGACTAATTCACTGAGGTTCCTGTAAGGAAAAATATTTTCCGCATGCTAGCTTGTTATAATTAACCTTAAATTTGAAAAATATTTTGATACCAAAAATAAAACTACAGTGTTTTTTTGTAAGCATGATTCTTATTAAAATGCATCATAAACTGTTTTTCTTTCAGTAAATGGGAGAGTCTGACAGAAAAACACGTTTATAAGCACAGATTGAGACTATGTCATTAAGTCATGTGTTATTAAAACATTTAATTACCACATATTTCTTTGAGAAACAGCTAGTGCTTTCCTGTTTTTATGGTGCCCAACTTCAATTAGCTTCTATATTATTTTACAATAAAACAAGTATCTACTGAGTGATACAATTCTGAAATGAATATTAACACTTAGAATAATTATGCTGGGATTTTAATTATTGTTTTATTTAAATATTTTATTATTATAATTACTATTACTATTACTATTATTGTTATTTTGCACACAAGATACAAAAGAAACAATAAGATTCTATTCCCTATCCATCTGTCATAACTAGCTTTGGGCAAATGGCTATGTAACTGAGCAACTTGACTTCAAAATGCATTTTTAAACTTTTTTTTTCCTTTTTCTCTTTTCTCCCTAGTCTCAAGACGTAACCTTGAAGCAAACTGCAGAAGCCTTTTCTCCTTAACATTAAAATAGAATCCACATCCTTCACTTTCCCACTGTATACGCCCTTCACATTTACCTAACTGTATGTTAGTATCTAATTATGTGTTTACTTGAAACTTTTGGGGGCTAATCTTGAGACAGACAGACCAAGCCTGGAGACCCAGATGCAAAATTCCAGATACAACCTCAAGGCAGCTAATCAACATCCCAACCACTGTAGAGGTGATGCCAGCCTGCACTCAAGGTGGACTGAAACCCAAGATAGCCACTGAAACAAAAAATACAAACCTTGTACCCAGCACAACTCCTGCATGCCTCTCATATCAAGTCCTCGCTTTTTAAAATCCTGCCTTCTCACCAGAAATTTGAAGTGGCTACTTTGGATGGGAATCTGGCCACTTCCCCATTACTAGTTTTGGCTAATAAAGTCACTTCCTTTCCACCATACCTCACTCTTGTCATTGGACTCCCCAAGTGGTAAGCAGCTGGACCTCTGTTTTGTTACAGCTACTTAGTGTTGAAGCCTATCAAATTAAGGAAACATTATTAATATTAGAAAATATTTATTTAAGACATGTTCTCACAGCTTATTTTTTTGCTTTTGGAATAAAGGGAATTAGTGATATGTAGTGGTCATGGTGCTATGGTCATCTCTGAGATTGATAAAGATTAAGGTGTTTGATATTACAATGCCCAGTATTGGTAAGATGTGAGAAAACAAATACTCTCAAACACTGTTAGTGGGAGTATATATATTTTGGGGAGGGCCATTTCATGGCAATAATCATTACTAATACACATACACTGAGCTATAATAATTCCACTAGAGATTCATCATACGGATATTCTCCCATAAGGTGGCCAAGGAGATAGATTTATATGTATGTATGTATGTATAGTGTGCGTGTATTTGTTTTTGTGTGTATACTTGTTTATCCATGGAAAATATTTATATACATACATAAAGATAAGAAATGGGTTGTGGAGGAGACTTGCTCTCTTTCTGTGTAATTAAGCATACATTTTTAAACAATGTAATAACCTTTAGTGAAAATATAAAGCAACTTTCAAAAGTATTTTTAGAAAAAGAATATCTAATGTGAGTCCGTGAAACATTTTAAATAACAATAAATCCTTGAAAAACTGATAGAAAAAAAATCAATGTAAACGGCATGCCATATTTCTCCTTAAAAATATTTACCTACTTATATGCATGCATACTTTACTAGAACTGGAAATTTGCTTTCAGCACTGAAATGTCTATAAAGAAATGGGCATTGTTAGAAGTATTATTAAATCATTTTTAATTTGTAATATTTGTAATGAGGTAACTGCCTGCTTTTTCAATGTTAATTCAATATTAACTCAAGATATGTCTCTTTATTTTATTTATTTATTTTGAAATTTTATAGAGATGAGGTTCCTCTATGCTGCCCAGGTTAGTCTTGAATTCTTGGGCTTAATTGATCTGTCTACCTCAGCCTCCTAAAGTGTTAGAATTACAGGCATAAGCCACCACACCCAGCCATGATATGCTATTTAGAAAAATGTAAATTTCTTATTGATTTTTATTTTCATTGTGGCCACTAAAATGCTATTTATTTCAACAGATCTACTAACATTTTAGTAAGTCATGTTCTTATTTCATTCTGATTTATGTATATTTTTTCTTTACAAATTTTCAAGCAATTGGCGTTTATGATTTTACCTAATGAAACTCTGATTTTTCATGAAAATGGTCAAGCAGTATTTAGTATGTCTATGACTGTAAAAAATAAACCCCACATCCTAAAAGTCTCAAAACATACTTATCATCATAGTTATAGCAGTAATATAAAACCTCAGAAAACGATAGTGTCTTCTCCATAAAGAGATCAATCTAATACTTTAATTCATCAAGTCTATATCCTAAGATTTATGCATTTGGTTGGGGGAATGGGGTTGGCTATTAAATATACACCCAAATTTTACAGAAAGGAAATTTGCATATGTCCTGTATGTCCATAGTCTCAAAAAACATTATTATCCTGTCATAAAGAAAAATAAAATTAAACAACTTAAAAACCCAGAAGGTTCACAGCAAGACAAATTCTCATTGTTAATAATATAAATCCTGAATATTCATATCTTATATAACATTGATAATATAAAGGTTTAGGTCTCTCCAGGGTTAAAACTTTATAGCTCACTCTATTGTTAAGAAAAAGAGGAAATGAAAATCATCTTTCACACTAAAGTCAGATTTGTACCACACCTTTAAGATAAGAACAAAGGATCAGTTAAAAGAGGGAAGTGTTCTAAATATCTTTCTCAAAAAAATTAAAATACATGGATTCCTTCTCTCATTCTTTTATCTGAATTTTTCCCATAAACAAGGAGACAGGAGACTTGACCAGAGCAAGGAAGCTGCTGGGAGCTAGTGGTCTGTGGGTGACAAAGGGAAACATGGCAGGGTGTGGGGTAGGGATTGAATTCTCCAGCCTAGTTCTTCCCTTTGCCTTTAGCCTACTCTACTATGGGGCTGTACCAAAATGCAGAAAACTGTCATCCCTCATCTCTTCATTGTTCAGTAGTCTTATATCTTTCTTCTTCCTCTTCTTGTCTTCCATTTAGAAAATTTTTTTTGGAGGGGGCATTGTAAGAATTGTCCTTTCATAATCAAGAAAACTGCAGTTTACAACCCAGTTCTTAGCAAGGAAAAATGCACACATCCCCCTGGAAAGCCATGGACGCGTACACACCCTGGCAGGGGCAGGGGGCAGGATTGGCAGGGGCTTTGGCGGGGGTTGGCCAGAGACGGACAGACAGATAGAAACAAATTATACCAAGAGTACTCAGATATTAAGAGGAAATTGAGAAGGCTATGAGGAGATACCAAGATGTCAACTTTCTAAAGTGGCAAAATCTTTCCAGAGCATTTTTATGGGCCCCCTCTTCCTATGTTATTCTACAATACAAGGACGAAATGCTTTCTTCTCAGCCCACTCCAATGCCAATCGCAGTCACATATCATCTCCTCACCATCCTGAGCCATTATTTTGCATGTTGACAATAATAGTCCTGAGGTGCAATGGGAGAAAGTTGAGTCCTGAAGTTTTATCAGAAATGAACAAACAAAAACTAAGGGCTATGAATCAAACATCACAGATGAGAGGTTGCCTATTTTTCCACGAAACACTGACAAGCACCTCAGGAGAGGTATAAAATCATTGTGTAAAATCATTTGCACAGTACTGATGTGGCTGAGATTATCTCTGTATCTTCTAATAGTGATCAGCATCACTTAGAAGAAAAAGGAACTGATGAATTAGCAGCACTTTCCTACCCTTATTTGAAATTTGAACCAGGTTCTGTTGAAATTTGGGGTTGAAGAAATCCTTTTCTTTAAAGCTCATTGCCCTTAAGCTGTTTTAGCTTCTTCCACCAGGTCTCACCTTTTTCTTTGTTATTTATGGTTATTTCAGACACCCTAACCCCTGCCACCAACTCATTTGGATTAGGAGCTTACTGGTTTAGTATTTAGTGCTTTGAGGCTAATTGACAACTAAAATCACTGGTCCCAGGAACCCACCAACACTGTAATTGTCACGTTCAAGACCCACATTGCAGGGAATTCATTGCCTTTCTAAATAATTTTTTCCCTGTCTTCAAATGTTCCATAATGCCAACATTTCAAATGTTTTCTTTCAACTGCATTTTATCTATGTATCAGATATCAAACATTGGCTATATTTTAAAGTTCAACTCTAATAGTGAGCATTTTCTCCTCTAAAATGTAGATACAGAATATAACTCAGAAGGCATGGACTCTAGTTACAAAAAAAATCATCCACAACTTATTTAAAATTACACGCTTGTCAAATATGTCAGAACCCAATTCAATTTCTCTTCCATTTAAGCCGTTTGAAAAGGGCAAATATAAAATGTTTAATTCAAGATGAATTCAGGGCACTGCAAACTGTCAGCAGATGGAGCCATTTTGCAACATACTCTCACAATTTTTTCAACGAGGAAAGCAGACTAAGAAATTGTTTAATATTTTAACTACATTCTTGTTTCATAAGAGGATGATTAAAATTCCCCGTAAAAAGTTTGCTTATCTATTATTTAGAATACTGTTTATTACATGTTTCCTCCCAAGTGTTTGCCATAAATATGCTAACATAAAAACTTACTTCTAATCATAATAGTGGTTTGAGACAAATAATTGGGAAATTTAAGTTTGAAAACAAAATGGTGTATAGTATCCATGCAATGAAAAAGCACATATATCTAGTTCTACTCACACACACAATATCACACAAGGAAGAGATTCTCCTTTTACAATAATTCCTACAATAAACTCAAGCATGTTTCTCTTTTGATTTTGGACTATATGAAGTTTCCATTTTGATTTTCAAAAAGTGAAACCTTTTGGGCCGGGCGCGGTGGCTCACCCCTGTAATCCCAGCACTTTGGGAGGCCCAGGCGGGCAGATCACGAGGTCAGGAGATTGAGACCATCCTGGTTAAGACGGTGAAACCCCGTCTCTACTAAAAATACTAAAAAATTAGCCGAGAGTCATGTCGGGAGCCTGTAGTCCCAGCTTCTCGGGAGGCTGAGGCAGGAGAATGGCGTGAACCTGGGAGGCGGAGCTTGCAGTGAGCGGAGATCACGCCACTGCACTCCAGCCTGGGTGACAGAGTGAGACTCCATCTCAAAAAAAAAAAAAAAAAAAAAAAGTAAAACCTTTTGAAAATCAAAGTTGCTGAATTAAAGAACTAGGAAGAGCAGTTAGAAAGTATTCTCAGTGTCTAACATTAGCTTTTCACCTAATAGGCATACTTTTTCATAGGTGGGGAAATAAGAAAGATGCTTGCCTAAAAGGTAACTTTGATTTTAATTTCAAATTTCTTCAACCCTTTAGAAATTTTCAACCTTGACTGTGTTTCAACTTTCAGCTCTGTATCACCAGTCAACTCCACAGTGTAATTGTTTAAACTGGCCAGAGTAATTGTTTCATGCTGATTGATTATATTCTTCATCATTTATTGATTCCTCAGCATACTCTACAGAGCAGTTATTTTGCACTTTCCAGTCTTTTCTTAAATCCTTTATTTTATCTTTAATTGGGGGAGAAATCCCACCATGTATTTTATAGAAAAGTAGAATATTAACATTGATTACTACTGTAAGCATAGCCCTCTGCTTAATACTTGCATCATTCATTCATTTAAATGCCTACTATGTGACAGGCTCTGTGTTTTACATCTGCTTTTTCAATTACATTGCACAAAAAAGTCCACTGAATATATACTTCCATATTCTCCATCTTGCAAATGAGAAAACTAAATCTTAAAGAGGTTATTTGCCCAAAATCAAATGGATTAAGAGTAGAAAGCAAAAGGGATGTGGGAAATAGAGGTAAGCACTCTGCTTCATGCAGACATTCGGAGATCCAGGCCCTGCCAGCTTCAATCCTTAACTCTCAAGATCACCAAAAGCGTCAAAATCCAGCTGTCAGATAAGGGAATGGAGAAATTATAGATTTGTGGACTATGTTTGGAAGTGGCTTATATTACTTCCGTCTGTGTTCTTCAGGCCAGAACTCAGTCACTAGGCCACATCTAACTGCAATGGAGGGTGGAAAATTTAGTATACCTTTGTACTTAGGAGGAAAGAGAAGCTGCTACAGAGTGCTCCCCAAAGTTCAGCCCAGTGCCCCTCAGGAGCTGTAGCCATGGCTCAAGTGGGTCCAGGTGTATCTCATGCCACTACTCTGCATGGCTAGAGCTACTGCGAAAAACTCCTCTAAGAGCAAAGCCATGGAACCAAAGCCACCGGAAAGAGTCTCCACTGGGGCAATGTCTAGTGGAGCCATGAAAGTGGAGCCACCCCCATAGCCTTAGAACTATAGAGTTACCAGTATGCAACACCAGCCTGAGAGAGCTGCAGGAAAAAGACTCCAACTTGTGAGAGTTGCTGCATGGGCTGCTCCCAGCAAGGCTATATTGGCAATGCAGCCTGAGGACTAGAGTACCCAACACCTCTCCCAATGTGTCTACGAGGTGGCACATGGAATGAGAGATTATTCTGGAGTCTTAAGTTTTAATGTTGTCTGCTCTGTTGGGTTTTGGGCTTTCTTGGGGCCTGTTATCCCTGTCTTCTTGCCAATTTATCCCTTTTGGAATGAGAATATCTATCCTATGCCTGTTGCAACATTATATTTTGGAAGCAAGTACCTTCTTTTTTTTTTTTTTGTGACAGAGTTTTGCTCTTGTTCTCCAGGATGGAGTGCAATGGCATGATCACAGCTCACCGCAACCTCTGCCTCTCGGGTTCAAGTGATTCTCCTGCCTCAGCCTCCCGAGTAACTGGGATTACAGGCATGCGCCACTATGCCTGACTGATTTTTTATTTTTACTAGAGAGGGGGTTTCTCCATGTTGGTCAGGCTGGTCTCGAACTCCTGACCTCAGATGATCCTCCCGCCCTGGCCTCCCAAAGTGTTTGGGTTACAGGCATGAGCTACTGTGCCTGGCCACAAAAAAGTAACTTCTTTTGATTTCATAACAAAAAAGTAACAAAAAAGTAACTTCTTTTGATTTCATAGGCTCACAACTGGAGGGACATTTGCTTCAGGATGAATTATGTCTTGAGTCTCACTGATATCTGATTTGGATAAGACCCTGGACTTTAGAGTTGATGCTGAAATGAGTTAAGACTTCTGAGGCTATTGGACTGGAATGGATGCATTTTGCATGTAAGGAGGACTTGAATTTTAGGGGCTAGGGTTGCAATGCCATTGTTTGAATGTGTCTCCACAATTTCAGGTGCTGGAAATTTAATCCCCAACACAACAGTGCTGAGAGATGGGACCTTTAAAAGGTGATTAGGTCACGAGGGCAGAGCCCTCATAAATGGATCAATGTCATTATCACAAGAGTGAGTTTGCTCTAAAATTGAGTCTGGCCCCATCTTGCCCTCTCTTTTGCATTATGTTGTGCATGCCTTCTTGCCATATGAAGCCTTCTTCCATGTTATGATGCAGCAAAGGCCCTCACAAGATGCAGCCTCTTGATCCTGGACTTCTCAGCAGCCAGAACTGTGAGTCAAATAAATTTAAGTTCATTATACTCAGTCTGCAGTGTTCTTTTATAGTAGCACAAAATGGATTAAGACAGTGACAAATTTGGAATAGAAGCTAAATTTGCCTAGATGCAGTATCTAAGCTATTAATCATTATGGTTTGCTTCTTCTCTAGAATGTCAAGAAACAAATTCTACACTAGTGTCATCTAATATGTTACAATCCCAGCATATATGAAGACTTCAACATCATTTTAAAAGAGAAGAATTTCTGTTTCCATGCAAAATGTCAAAGCATATATTCAAGGAATTATAAATGTTTTAAATCTTTCTTATGGAACATTATTGTGGCTGGAGACACAATGAGGTTATTATTCATTGATTCCATCAATATCCTCATTGATGCTACAGCTTCTCTTAAACTCAGGCTAGTAACTATGCCTTCTTCTTTTACCACATACAATTGTTTCTCTTTATATAGGGTTTAGGGTGTTGATGCTACAGCCTTAGAGCTAACAACACATTTACAAATTATTCTATGGGGGAAAAAAGTCTTATGTGAATGGTTTATATATCATCAAACTCAAAAACACTGTTGCTTTTCCTTGCTTATCTGTAAAAATCCTAATATAACAAGATATTCATAATGAAGTACAGATTGAATTACTGCACTCATGACAGTGATCTCAGGTTGTTTAATCAAATATTAAAATCTATGCTTTCTATTACAAATGACAAAATAAGGACACAAAGCTTAAGTGTAATACACGGGGAAATAAATTAAAAAGAAACACAAAATTTTAAAATAATTGGAAGGAATAGCACACTGACATTTAAATTTCCTGAAAAAAAATGTGTATGGTTAATAATGAAAAAAGATGTTATTCAAGGCACCTAACTCTTATATCTTTTAATACTCTACCAATTAATATGTGCTATGCATTTTACTAGGAACTCAAAAATGTATTTATAGGTGGATTAGCTACAACAGCAAGCAGAGGCAATGGGTGCCTCTATCATCTAAGTGCTAGAAAGCAGAGTTTCTCATCTTGTAGTGCATATGTAGGCCACCTGTTTATCTCCAGGTGTTGTTTGGGCTGATGCTGTTTTCTTATGTATTTTTGCACTGCTGATTTGAATCTGCAATAAAAAGAAAAAAGGCACCTTTAATATATCCAAAGTAATGTTTAACTTATGTGAAAATAGCAAAATTCTTTTTTTATTATTTTTCTTTTTGTTTCATGTTATTTTGCTGTTATTGTCTTGTTTTGTTTTGACGAGAACCATCAGCAAAACAAGTGCTCTTATAGAAATTTGGTTTATTTAATTCTTATTAGGGGCTCTGTAGTCCAAAGACATGTAAAAAGTATTCTCTATGTTTTCACAGCATATTATCTGCCTGATATAGATTGGTTTTTTAGTTTCCTTTGTATCTTTTAATGATTTCACGATTAAATTCTGTCTACAAATGTGGTTCGATGCTTTAACCTGCAGACATGTAAATGGTCCTTATCAAAGTAACCAGGGTCACTGCCGCCATCCTATAATTCTTCAGTCACCAGTGGAAGAAACAAAAGGTTCTATGAGAAGTCAAATGAAATATGGGGACTTACTACATAATTTTCCAAGCTGTTCACATTTCCCACAGATCAAAGCATATGGACACAGTCTGATGTCAAAGTCACTATTAGCTATGTTGGTTAGAGTTGCATTTCCCAAACTTGCATGTTCATGAGATCCTGGAAGTTTTCACGACCTACTACATCAGCATCTACAGGGGAGCAGCCTGGACATCAATATGTTTAATAAGCTTACCAAGTGGTTCTTATAAGCAGGCAAATATGAAACATAGCAGGTTAGTATATAAAACTAGCAATTTGAAAATGGTCATTTATTATCATTTCTATTGCTCAACTTTCTCTTACTCTACAACCACGAACATTAACACTAACACATTTGTCCCACACATGTGTAGTATTCTTCTGACAAACACTGTTGAGACTAGAACTACAGTACTACATAGCTGGGAAAAAATATTCTGTTTTCTGGATATGGTCACATTACTAATGTATTGACAGTAAGATATCTTATGTTACCTGTTTCATTGATTGTCTTCAATAGAGTTGATTGAATTTGGCAGATATATTCATATTTTGTGACAATTTATTGCAGACATTTAAAAATATCTGAGATAGGCAGCTCACCCATCTGACACTGGGTTAGGAATCCCAGAGCCTTGTCCTCCCACTCAAACCAGCAGGCCATGAGACAAACGCAGAACTGTGGGACTCTGAGGATAATACATTCCGAAACACTGCCTTGTAAAATAAACATCTTGCTTTATTCAAATTGCCACACTGTCAAAAAGTACTTATTTCACTTTTTTACATTCTCGATATAAAATATGAAGGATTATATTAAATAATTTAAACTAGGTGGTTAGCATTTATTATAATATTATGAACATGAATCAATTTAGATCTGTTTGCTTCAGTAAAATATGCCACTAATATATGTTCTGTTATGTTCCACATATTGAAATGCTAATACACACACACACACACACACACATGCTTGATTTACCGTTTGAATTACATAATGTGAAGTATAATTTTTTATTTACTTAAAGCAAAGTTGAAATTTAAAATTGATAGCAGATCATTAAAAAAATATACATACAGTCGGTTCTCTGTATCCATGGTTTCTGCATTCTTGAAATCAAGAACTATAGATTGAAAATATATAGGAAAAAAAATCCACAAAGTTCCAAAAAACAAAATGTGAACTTGTTGCACACCAAGTACTACATTGATTCTACATAAAAGAAGTAATGTGTAGGCATTGTATTAGGTATTGTATGTAATCTGGAGATGATTTAAACTATATGGGAGAATATGCATTGATTATATGCAAATATTATACTATACTCGTAGATTTTGGTAGCCACAGGGGTCCTAGAACCAATCCTGCATGGATAACAAGGGGCCAATGTGTAATGAAACTATATTTTTAAATTTTTAAATATTTTTATTTTTTTAAGATTATATTTTAATTGATCAATAAAATTGTATTTATTTACTGTGTACAACACATTGTTTTGAAGTATATATGCATTGTGGAATGACCAAATCTAGTAACTAACATACACATTTTCTCACATGGATATCTTGACGTCTTTGTGAGAACACTTTACATCCACTCTCAGCATTTTTAACGAATACAAAATATGATTATAGTTGCCATTTTGTACAATAGATCTCTTGAACTTACTCCCTCTATCTAACTGAAATTTGATATCCTTTGACCAATATTTCCCCTACCCTCACCCCCACAGCCACCCCAGTCCCTAGTAACCACCATTATACTCCCTATTTCTCTGCGATCAACTTATTAGATTTACACAGGAGTAAGGTAATGTAATGCTTGCCTTTCTGTGCCTGGTTTATTTCATTTATCATAACGTCCTCTAGGTTCATCTATGTTGTCAAAAGTGACAGCATTTTCTTCTTTTTATGGCTAAATAATATTTCATTATGCTTATATACCACATTTTCTTTATCCATTCATTTATTGATGGACACTTAGGTGGACTCCATACCTTGGGTATTATAAATACTACTGCAAATAAACATGGGAGTGCAGCCATTTTTTCTATCTCTTTGACATACTGATTTTATTTCCTTTAGGATTGCTGGATCACACAATGATTCTATTTCTAATTTTTTTTAAAAAAACCTTCATGCTGTTTTCCATAATAGCTATACGAATTTACATTTCTCCTAACATGGTGCAAGGTTTTCCTTTTCTCCATGTTCTCTCCAACAGTTATCTTTTGTCTTTTTGATAATAGCTATTCCAACTGGTGTGAGGTGATATCTCACTGTGGTTTTAATTTGCATTCTCTCATGATTAGTGATAATGATCATTTTCTCATATATCTGTTGGCCTTTTATATGTTTTCCAGGGGAGAAGCTCCATGACATTGGTCTGAAAAATAATGTTTTGAATATGACCCCAAAAGCCCAGGCAACAGAAACAAAAACAGACAAATGGGATTACATCATACTTATAAGCTTCTTCACAGCAAAGGAAACAATGAACAAAGTGAAGAGACAGCCTACGAAATGTGAGAAAATATTTGCAAACTCTGCATCTTACAAGGGGATAATATCCAAAATATGTAAGGAACTCAAACAGCTCAATAGCAAAAATAAATAACTCAATTAAAACATGGGCAAATGACTGGAGTAGACATTTCCCAAAACAAGCATACGAATTGCCCACAGGTATAAAATAAACAAACTCCCTCCCACCGTCCCTGCACAGAGGATGTGGGGGTAAACTCTAATTATGTGAACTTTAGTTCAGAAATATTTCTATAATACTGATAAGGAAGAGGAGGAGATTTGCATTGAAGGCTGCTAAAATATCTCCTTGTAAACAAATATATTGTTGGATACAGAAGCTTGGAGACACAGCTCAGTCTCTAGATGATTACTCTATATTTACTGAGACCTTGTACTTCTTCACTTTTCACCACTCATGTTGAATAGAAATCACAAAAGTCGTCATCCTTGTCTTGGTCTAGTTCTCAGGGGGAATGCTTTCAACTTTTCCCCATTCAGTACGATATTGGCTGTGAGTTTGTTATTGATGGCTTTTATTACTTTGAGGTATGTCCCTTTTATGCCAATTTTACTGAGGGTTTTTATCATAAAGGAATGCTGAATTTCATCAAATGCTTTTTCTGTATCTATTGAGATGATAATATAATTTTTGTTTTTAACTCTTTTTATGTGATATATCACATTTATTTACTTGCATATGTTAAACCATCCCTGAATCCCTTGTATGAAACCTACTTGATCTTTTTGATATGCTATTGGATTTGGTTACCTAGTGTTTTGTTGAGGATTTTTGCATCTATTTTCATCAGATATATTAGTCTGTAGTTTTTGTTTGTTTGTTTGTTTTGTTTTTGTTATGTCCTTTCCTGGTTTTGGTATTTGGGTGTTACTGGCTTCATACAACTATTTAGGGAGGATTCCCTCTTTCCTTATCTTTAAGAATTGTTTAAGTAGGCAATTCTTCTTTAAATGCCTGATAGAATTCAGCTGTCAATCCATCTGTTCCTGGAATTTTTTTGTTGGCAATTTTTTTTTTTTTGAGACAGAGTTTCGCTCTTGTTGCCCAGGTTGGAGTGCAGTGGCAAGATCTTGGCTCACTGCAACCTCTGCTTCCTGGGTTCAAGTGATTCTCCTGCCTCAGCCTCCTGAGTAGCTGGGATTACAGGAACCCACCATCATGCTCAGTTAATTTTTGTATTCTTAGTTGAGACGGGGTTCCGCCATGTTGGCCAGGCTGGTCTCTAACTCCTGACTTCAGGTGATCCACCTGCCTCAGCCTCCCAAAGTGCTGGGATTACAAGTGTGAGCCACCATGGCCAGCTAGCAATTTTTAAATTCCTGTTTCAATTTTGCTACTTGTTATTGGTCTATTCAGAATTTCTTCCTGATTTAATCTAGGAGAGTTATATATTTTCAGAAATTTATCCATCTCATCCAGACTTCTAGTTCGTGTGCATAAACCTGTTCATGGTAGCCTTGAATGATCTTTTGTATTTCTGTGTTATCATTTGTAATATCTCCCACTTCATTTCTATTAATAATTGAGCTTATTTGGATCTTCTCTCTTTTTTTCATGGTTATTCTCTCTAATGGTATATCACATTTGTTTATCTTTTCAAATAGCCAGCTTTCTTTTCTTTTCTTTTCTTTCCTTCCTTCTTTCTTTCTTCCTTTTCCTTCTTTCCTTCCTCTCTCTCTCTTTCTCTCTCTCTGTCTTTCTTTCTTTCTTAATGGAGTTTCACTCCTGTTGCCCAGGTTGGAGTGCAATGGCACGATCTTGGCTCACCGCAACCTCCACCTCCTGGGTTCAAGCGATTCTCCTGCCTCAACCTCCCAAGTTGCTGGGATTACAGGCATGTACCACCACGCCCAGCTAATTTTGTATTTTTAGTAGAGATGGGATTTCTCCATGTTGGTCAAGCTGGTCTCAAACTCCCAACCTCAGGTGACCAGCCTGCCTCGGCTTCCCAAAGTGCTGGGATTACAGGCATGAAACATTGTGCCCGGCAGAACCAGCTTCCTGTTTCACTTATTTTTGGCATTTTTTGTTTCAGTTTTATTTAATTCTGCTCTTTAATTTAATTCTTTTCTTATGCTGGATTGGTATTTGGTTTGTTCTTGTTTCCCTAGTTCCTTGAGGAGTGAAATTAGGTTGTCTATTTGTGCTCTTTTACACTTTTTGATGTAGGCATTTAATGCTATGAACTTTCCTTTTAGCACCACTTTTGCTGTATGCCAGAGGTATTGGTAAGTTGTGTAACTATTATTATTCAGTTCAAAGAAGTTTTTAATTTTCATCCTGATTTCATTGTTAACCCCAAGATCATTCAAGAGCAGATGAATTTCCATGTATTTGTATAGTTTTGAGGGTTCCTTTTGAAATTAATTTTCAGTTTTATTCCACTGTAGTATGAAAAATTAATTGAGGAAAAATGCACTGGCCTTGCTAGAGATTTAGACATCTAAATACAAGTAGCTCAAAAACTTCCTGTAAAATTTATCACAAAAAGATCATCGCCTGGGCACATACTCATCAGGTTATCTAAAGTCAAGACAAAGGAAATAATCTTAAGAGTGATGAGAAAAAAGCATCTAGAAACCTATAAAGAAAAACCCTTCAGATTAGCAGCAGATTTCTCAGCAGAAACCTTACAAGCCAAAAGGAATTAGGGTCCTATCTTAGTCTCCTTAAACAAAATAATTGTCAGCCAAGAATTCTGTGTCCATCAAAACTAAGCTTCATAAATGATAGATAAAGTCTTTTTCGAACAAGCGAATGCTGAGATAATTTGCCCCTACCAAATTCAAGAAATGCTAAAAAGAGTTCTAAATCTTGAAACAAAACTTCAAAACACACCAAAATAGAAACCTCATTGAAGCATAAATTTCACAGGGCCTATAAAATGATAACACCATTAAAAAAAAGGTATTTAGGCAACAACTAAGATGATGAATAGAACAGTATCTCACATATCAATACTAATGTTGAATGTAAATGGCCTAAATGTTCTACTTAATAGGTACAGAATGGCAGAATGAATAAAATCCACGATCACAATATCTGCTGTGTTCAAGAGACTTGCCAAACACATAAATACTCACATAAACTTAAGGTAAAGGAGTAGAAAAAGATATTCCATGCAAATGGAAAGGAAAAGCAAGCAGGAGTAGTTATTCTTATATAAGATAAAACAGACTTTAAAGCAACAACAATAAAAAAAGGTCAAAGAAGGACATTATATAATGATAAAAGGATTAGTTCAACAGGAAACCATCAGTGTCTTAAATATATATGCACCTAACACTGGAGCTCCCAAATTCATGAAGCAATTACTACTAGACTTAAAAAATGAGATAGGCAGCAGCACAATAACAGTGGGGGACTTCCAGTGACAGCACTAGACAGGTCATCAAGACAGAAAGTCAACAACAACAACAAAATGCCCAGAAACTATACCCTAGAACAAATGGACCTAACAGATATTTACAGAACATTCTGCCCAACAACTGAAGATTATGCATTATTTTCATCAGCATATGAAACATTCTCCAAGATAGACCATATTAAAGGCCACAAAACAAGTCTCAATGAATTTAAGAAAATTGTAATCATATCAAGTATCTTCTCAGCACACCTTTTACTGTAGCTATTGCTTTGGCAATTGGTTTAATGCAGTTGTAACCTAATAGTATTTTGTTTCAGCTGAACCAAATACCTCTTGCTTTCTGTCCCCACACTTCCCTGATGCCTCTAAAAAGGGAGACCTACAGAAACCTAACCAGCAAAATGTGTGTACACATGGGTAACTTGGAAGTGAAAGGGAGTTAATACCTTCATGGGGCATACTTTGACCAACAGAAGTTGGTGGATAAATGTTCTCATCTTCTGGCATTTGAGAGGATAATTGTGCATGGTGTGACCTTTAGAAGAACAATTCTACATGGCTCCACAGAAGAGACTGATAGACACAAGCCTCAGTTTTTCACAGGGTTGATCATTTTGAAAAATATACCCTTGAATTAGTTTCCTCCTTTTCTCTGTTACATTCTAACTGGTGTCCCTCTGCTCTTTTCTAAAATTTGCCTTCCAAAATAAATTGCCTATATGCTAGGCTTTGTCTTAGCCTCTGTTTTTTGGGTGAAAACTCAGACTAAGACATATTTTATACTCTACTGTTTTATATTTTTCTCTTTTCTCTGCTGTGAATCCCATCTGTATTCCTATGCTTTCAATTTTCACCTCTATCTCTGCTTCCTATAATCCACTTAGGTCATTGTCTGTCTGTGCTATTTTTGCTGATGTTGTTACTTCTTTCAAGGTTTTGTTCAAATGTAACTTCCCTTATGAAGTTTTCCTCACTCTTCTGATTTGTAATTGAGTTCAGGATTATTCATGTCTGTTTTCCTCCAGCTCCTTTTAAAATGCTCTGGACACAGTAAAAGACTGAATACATAAATGGACAATGGCCAGTTTATAAACCAAAAGGAAACTCTCACCTGAAATTTGCAACAGCCAGTCCAGGAAAACACCTCACTGCCTTCAACAGCCAATCCAAAAAGTCAAACCACTATCTGCAGCAACCAGTCCTAGAAGCCAACAGCAACTCCTGTAGCAATCAGCCCCAAATGACCAGGACTTGATCAATAACTGACAGCTTTCCTAATTTTTGCCCTACTTCCATTTTAGAACCAAATGAAGAAAGCCAAATATGTTCCCCTAACCAGTCACATATGATGGCCCCTCTTCTAGTTATCTCACCTACAGTCTCCAATCAGGGCGTAATTATAGCTATCATTTTACTTCCACTATTGAGTTTTACCACTTTCCTACCTGTATTTGAGTCTCTATCAAACAAAAGAAGTGTTAGCAGCTGTCCATGTTGCTATAGCAAGTTCTATATATTAAGCATATTACAGATAAAATATTTGTGCCCCTCCCCAAATTCTTATGTTGAAACCTAATCCCCAAAATGATAGAATTTGGAGGTGGGGCCCTTGAGAAGTCATTGGGTCATGAGGGTGAAGCTCTCATGAGTGGGATTAGTGCCCATATTACAAAAGGCCAGAGAGCTAGCTTGTGCCTTTTCTGTTGTGTGAGGATACAATGAGAAGTCAGTAATCTTCACCTTGAAGAGGGCTGTCACCAGAACTTGATCGTGTTGGCACCATGGTCATGGACATCCTGTCACCAGTTCTGGAAGACATAATCTCTGTGGTTGATATGTCACCCAGTTTATGCAATTTTGTTATAGCAGCACTAACTGACTAAGACAAAGCCTTTGCTTGTTCTCATTTAGGTAGATTTTATTTATTTCCACAGAGACAGTCACCAATTATTATTTGGTAAAATTATGAAATTTGCTAAAGGTATGATCAAAATTGTAAAGGGAAATTTATTGGTGCTTGGTTTAGAGTAGTGATTTAGAAATGTGTAAAAGTGCTTCTTTTCATATCCTAAGTGAGACTCCACAGTAAAACAAGTTACATTAGCTAGTAATGTGATCTTGCAGAAAATGATTTGCTGACAGTATCATAAAGAGTTGCCTGCTTTAATATTTAGTGGAAATAATAGAGCACAAAATAATGTCCGGCTTTTGTGAGTGACCAACAAGTAGTCATAGTATGCCAGGATCTGGGGGTTCTGAGAGGGGACATGAGAACTCTAAAAGGAAGAAGAGATCAAGAAAGCATGCATGAAAGCTTCTTTTATGCAACATCGGCCAAAGGGTGACTTTGCTAAACAAAAATAGGGAAAAGGAAATTAAACCTCTACCACCTTTACATGAGAATCACATGTTTTGCTGGTTGTGAATATCTTATTATGTAGAAAGAGGATTTTTTGCTTTATTTTGTTCAATAGAAACACATCTTCTCTACTGTTTCCTGGGAGTATATAGCTATATTACATATTTCTTCCAAATTCTTTATAATTTCCAAGCTCCAGATTAAATTGTCTTTTGGAATTGCTGGTTTACTTGAATGCAGATTTTTAGTAAAGATATTTTATTTAGAAAGATAAAGTTTGGAAAGTACCTCTCTATTAAATACAGTCATAAAAATAATAATTTCATCTAGCACACTGGAACTTTGTTTCTACATTAAAATTGACTCTATAAAATCCCAAGTCCCTGTTTGGAGATATCTCACACAAGCTCCCACATTTACATTATTGTGTTTGAAAGAAAAGGGTGAGATATTTAAAAATTACTAGATCTTAAATATCTCAATGTCATAAATACTGTTTTAGTGATTGTACTTGATATTGATACCTCCAATTAAATTTTTAAAATAAGATTTCTTCAACTAATTTTCCTTCAGCTGTTATTAAGAGCAGGTAGAAATATTATTTAAGAAACTCTCCAGTCTTCAGTTTTTTTGTTTTTTGTTTTTTTGAGATGGAGTCTCCTTGGTCACCCAGGCTGAAGCGCAGTGGTGCGATGTCGACTAACTGCAACCTCCGTCTCCTGGGCTCAAGCAATTCCCCTGTCTCAGCCTCCTGAGTAGCTGGGACTACTACAGGCGCCCACCACCATGCCTGGCTAAATTTTTTGTATTTTTAGTAGAGACAGAGTTTCACTATGTTGGTCAAGCTGGTCTTGAACTGCTGACCTCAGGAGATCCACCTGCCTCGGCCTCCCAAAGTGCTGGGATTATAGGGATGAGCCACTGAGCCTGGCCCAGTCTTCAGTTTGAACCTGACATTGGCATATAGTTTGAGGTATTGAGAGAGTGCATTTTTGTTTTAAAAGATATTTATAACCATCAGACCTGGACAGAAAATTAAGCAGTAAACTCACTGCCAGAAAGAACACATACACAGGAGCCTTTTCCCATCATTCTATTGCTGTGGTTCTATAACCAGTGTTTGAACATAGGATAAACCTCTTTGCAATCTTCAGTGACTATTTCCACATTCACACATCAGAGGACAAAATGTAAAACTGACATCTTGTCATCTCTTGATTCAATGTACAAATGAGAAGTAATATTGACTTAGAGGCTTAAAAGCAAATGAGAATTTACCCAGCAAGTTCAAACCTGTGTTCCCACTCAACACAGCTGTTTTTCCAACTTTGCAATGAGGAAAACCTAAGCATGATCAAGAGTCCATTGTGAAGTAAAATACCATTTGTAAATTATTTTCCTAAAGTGTTAGTGCAATGTTTCCCAAAGTGCTTATTTCCTTTTATGTAAGGAACATAAAGGAAATAGAAAAGTTTAGAGGTTTATTAGTACTACATATTCAGAAATAAAATTGCTTACACATTTTTCTGCTTAATTTTATCTGTGTTTAATTTTATCTGTGTTTATCTGTGCTGCTTACTTCTTATTTGTACTTTCTTAATGAATTCTACACATTTCTTAATAAAATATAATAATAGCCAACATTTACTGACTAAAACTTTACATTTTTTCAATTAATCTAATTTAAAAAATTAATAGACATGCTATTTAGTGGATTGAAGGCAGGAAGCCTTGGAATGACTTAAATTTGCAATATGTTAAAACTGGTAAATTGACTGTTATTACATAATGGAGTACAGGGAAAGCAGAATAGCATAGTGGTTTAAAAGCTCAAACTGGTATGAAATTATCTGTATTCAAATCTTGACTATACCATTTACTGGATAAATTAATTTGAGCTTGTTATCATCCTTTTCTTTATTCTTTGCTTTTCTCATCAGTAAAATAGGGATGATAAAAATAATAGTAAGATAGAGTTTTTGCAAAGATTAAATATATTAAAGCTTATTCAGCTTAGAACATTTCCCAGCATATAGTAAGTGCTTTCTTAGGACTAGGTCTTAAAATTCTTTGATTTAGTTAAATTTCTATATGATCCAGTTAGGTGTGCATCATTTACCAGCTGCATACGTCTCTTCATGCTTCAGTAAGGTGTGTTGCAGATGGCTACTGATAATTGCATGGCACTGCAGACATAAGCAATACAAATAATGGATAAATCAGTGAAAATTAAATTCTGCTTCCAGAAATAATTTAAACTGACCTGCTAAAATATCTTAATTGTCTTTATGCAAAGGACAGTGGTTCAGCAAACTATTGGTTACTAGAATTCTATGGCAATTCTAAGAATCTGAAAAACATTTGATTCATTCTATGCATACGATTCCTAGCACTGAAGTTTATTTCTTCCATAATGTCAAACATATGTTTAATAAAGAGAGGATTGCCTATTCTGTCAGAAACATTTGACAATGTTTGCAGCAAGTTGTACTGGTTCTATGACTAACTCTTCATTCTAAAGTTGCTCTCAACTTTTCTCAGAATATCTCTATTTTTGTCCCAGAAGTCAGAGATTCGAAAAAGAAAACACAATTTCTATTACTGGTAGTAAAATATTAATTAGATTGTCATATTATTTCTGCCACTCAATAGTATGAGACTTACCAATAGTAGAAATAATACTTTTAGGGGATAAAATAGAATATGTAAGAAAGGACATTCATAAATTTACTGTTTTATTTCTTGGCAAGTAAGCAAGAGGTATATAAAAATTAACATATAACTCTTTTAAATAAAGGCTGAGAAGAGTCAAGAAAAATTAAATTTATATTTGAAAAGTGACGTTCACTAATTATATTGAGGTGTCCTTCACCCTGTCCTCTCTGGCTTCTAATCAAGCTCCCAGATCTTCACTATTTTAAACCCTGGTGAATGATTATTCTTATGCTGTTCATATTGAGATTTTCATTGTTGTTGTATATCACCCATATCTTCCTTCTATACATGAAAATTATTCCACCAAATCTCCACTGAGAAGCACATAAAATGATGTTAAGCTTCATTAGCCATTGGGGAAATGGAGAGCTGTGATGAGCTACCTTTACAGACTTATTGGAATCTCCTCCCAAAATGATCGAACCATAAGCTGGTGAGGATGGAGAACAACAAGAATTCTCACTCATTGTTGGTTGGAATGCAAAATGAAATAGCCACTCTGGAAATGGTTTGGCAATTTCTTTCATAGTTAAACGTACATTGGCTGTGTGACCCAGCAATCCCATCATTAGCGTATACTGAAGTGAAATGAAAACTAATGTTTATACTACCCATCTGTGAATGCTTATAGCAGCTCTAATTACTAATGCCAAAACTTGTAAACAACAAATGTCCTTCAATGGGTGAATGGGTAACCTAGTACATGTGTACAATGGAATGCTATAAAGCAATATATAATAATGAACAATTGATACATGAAACAACTTGCATGAACTTCAAAGACATTATGCAGAGTGAAAGAAGACAGTATCAAAAAGTTACAAACTACAGGACTCTACTTATATGGCATTCTCAAAAACCAAAGCTATTGGGACAGAGAACAGATCAGTGTTTGCCAGAGATTAGGGGCAAGGAGGAGGGTATCACTGTAAAGGGATAGGATGAGATAGTTTTGGGGATGACAGAACTGTCTATTCTGATTATGGTGTTGCACAAATCTATCCATTTATTAAAATCCATAGGAGTGTACACCAACCGAAACAAATATTCAAATTTACTGTACAGTAATTTGAAAAATAAAGTAATAAAAAACCCTCCCAGTCTCTGATAACCTCCATTCTGGTTGTAAAAGAAAAAAAAACTCTTCTAAGGTATGGATAATTGTTTTAAGGTATAGCAAAAAAAAAAAATTTGCCCTTCCAAATTTCATCTTAATTTTAAAAATAAGTTGCTAACACAAAATAATACATTCATAAAGACAATATTTCAGTGAGATAGTGGTTTCCACATAGAAGAAACAAGCTGACCTAGAGGACGTCAGAAGTTACTCATGATCCTAAGGGTCCAGAAGCCCCAGAAGTCTTCTGGCTCTCTGCTTGCTCTTTGATAATCCCTTCCCCAGATTGTCATAGCTTTTCCAGCTTCTAAAGATACTCATCCCTTGTTAACTCCCTGTATCAAATCCCAGGCTGATATGCAGCTTGAAACAATGACAGGAACAGTTTCCGAGCGGCCCCATTCTTTCTGTTGAAAAGAATGTGCAGGCTATAATTTAAACTGATTACCTACCTTCCTTAAATATACAAGGAATAAATTATCCTTTTGCATATTGTTTTTTATCTCAGTCACAACCAAAAGTCCAAGCTTTTCAAAATGCTCTCAAGCTCTCCCCACATGCTTCTATCTGTATATCTCCTAAATTAGCCCAACTCTTAACCTTCTATGTATGCCTTTCTACTGTGACTTTGGAACACGCTTTGATCAACATTCCCCATATTAAGCCACAATTTTTTCTTTATTTGTTTTCCTCCTTTGTCTAAGCTAGTTAAACCTGTTACTGGAAGAAACACCCTACTCCCTCCACAGGCTTCTTAAGTGAGTGCTATTTTCCTTTCTCACTCCACATACCTCAGAGCCTGGAGGTGGACTCAGTGAATTCCTTGTTTCCCAATATTAGTTCCAAACTCCTTTTCTTTACATCCTGAACTCCTAGACATTTTTCTTCAATGGAACTGGATCATAGTCTTCCTTTTTACCCTTATTCCAATCACCATTCATAGTGATTTCAACTTTCGTGCAGATAATCCAGCCAATACCCTGGCTTCTCAGTGTTCTTGGCTTCCTAAATTCCAAGGATTATTTTCTCCACCCACACTCTAGCCACCATTTTCAAAAATATCTTTGACAAGTATTTAGTTCTTTTTTATGATATTAGCTTACTTACTTTAGTATATCCCACACCTACAGTTCTTTGACTCTATTGGTGCCTCCAATTCACTGATTCTAACACAGTGTTAATATTCATCTATCTCTGAACCACCCTTACTTTCTTCCCTATGTAGGTTGGATTGTATGTTCCAGTGTTGTTATCACTTGTTTGCAGAATCTCCCTTCCTTCTCATTTCTTGATCATATTCATCCAACTTAACCCTATTCATCCAACTTAACCTTAACTCTCATTGAATTTAATTATTTACACAATTCATGGATACACCTGAATAACTGGCTTTTGCTGTATAAAAGTCAAACTATCATGGTGACTAGTTTCACTTTACATTCATGAATAAAAGTTTCAAATGGGTTCCTAAAACTCACTCTGCAAGACGGTGACTTCTCATTTTTTCTCTTCTATTTGAATCTTTTATTTATTCATTTATATATTTTTCTGAGACAGAGTCTCTCTCTGTCGCCCAGGCTGGAGTGCAATGGCATGATCTCTGCTCACTGCAACCTCTGCCTCCAGGGTTCAAGCGATTCTCCTGCCTCAGCCTCCTGAGTAGCTGGGACTACAGGCACATGCCACGGTGCCAGGCTAATTTTTGTATTTTTAATAGAGACAGGGTTTTGCCATGCTGGCCAGGCTGGTCTCAAACTCTTGACCTCAAGTGATCTACCTGCCTCCCAAAGTGCTGGGATACAGGTGTGAGCCACTGCGCTTGGCCCTGTGTCTTTATTTTATGATTTCATCTAATTATTTATAGGAAAAGTTAAAGCAATCAGATGAGCACTGACACATCTCCCTACCATACTCACCAATGCATTGCATCTCTTTACAATTACTCAGCCTCCCCTCTTGTTACAATGAAATATATATCCCGGCTTCTATCTAAGGGCACTCTACTTCCATTTTGCATTTTATATCATTTGACTAGGGTCATCATGGTTACTTATATTCTTAGGAAAAATGTACCACTCTTTTACCTGCCTAAATATTAAAAGCTTACCCTGTTCATTTATCTCTTAATAGTTTCCCAGTCTTGATGACAAAGTTATATGTTAACCCTGTCTTTTCTATCCTACAAAAGGTCTTTACTTGTATAGTCATCAATTTCTCACTACTGGCTAGGCAATTCTCAGTAGCTTACAAAAATTGTCATTAACATTTTTCCATATTTAAAAGCCTGGTGTTGATTTCATCCTGTCCTCCAGCTTCTATACCTTGTCTGTCTTCTCTATCACAGCAAAATATTTTTAAAGATTTTCAAAAATGTTGTCTCCACTTCCTCATTTTCATTACATTTTTATCCAGCCACATTTGGGCTTTTGCTTTTAACCATTGAATGAGTGTCAGGTTGCCAAACACAATGATCAATTATCTTTTCTCATCTTACTCAATCTTTACATGGTCTCTGAAAATACATTATTTCCATGGTTTCTGTGACATGACATTGTTCTAATTGTCTTCCTACCTCAGTAGCCAGCCTATCTTAGTCTTTTGATTCTAGTTCCTTCCTCTCTGTTTGATGTCTAAATGTTGGAGTATCCCATAGCTCAAAACTGGTCCTTCTTCACCTTTTTTCTATTTCCTAGGATACCTTATTTAATTTTATTAATTCAAATATCATTGGTATGCTAATGAAATTATAATACCAGCCTTACCGCTAATGAGCTAATTACTTGTTTTGTATGTCTACAGCATGTCAAATTAAGCAGGTCAAAGACAAAACTCATAGTTCCTTCTCCCAAACATAGTCTTTATATAGTATTTGTTATGTGAATAAATGACAACTCCAACCAATTGTTTGGGTTAAAGTTCAATATGTCCTTTATGATTCATGATTCTTTTTTTTTTTTCAACCTTCCAAGTCATAATATTCTACCTTCAAAATATATTCTGCATAAGGATTACCATCACTTCTAACAGCTGAAAGTTACCATGGACAGTTGATTCTTTCTCCTGCTACAGTACTCTATCCTGCCATTACATTTCACTTATAAGGACCCTGTGATTATGTCTGGCCCATCAGACAATGTAGGATAATCTTGGCATCTCAATATCTTTAACTTTATTCACACCCGCAAATACCATTTTGCCTTTGAAGGCACCATATACACAAATTCTGGAAATTAGAAAGTGAACAACTTGGTGAAGCAGAGAGGCATTATTCTACCTTCCCAAGTGCTTGGGAGTTTTTCAAGATTCAGTGCATAGGAAAGATAGAAGGAATAGAAGGAGTATGTGATCAAAACTCAGAGGAGATTTACATAGATGTGTTAAAAAAGAGCCACTTCAGAAAGGGCATCTTGGAGAACATTATGCTAAGTGAAATAAGTTGGCACAGAAAGAAATATGGCATAATCTCACTTCTATGTGAAATATAAAAAAGAAAAACCAATAAAGTAGAAAAATAGTGGTTACCAGGGGCTTGGGGTGGGGGATGGATAGGGAATGGGGAGATGTTGATTAAAGGGTACACAAGGAGTAAGTGCTAGTGATCTACTGCACAGAATGATGATTATAATAAGTAATGAGGCCTTCTCTATTTCAAAATTTCTAAAAGAATACATTTTAAATGTTTTAACCACAAAAAATGATAAGTATGTTAGGTAATGGATTTGTTAATTAGTTTGATTTAGTCACTCCACAATGTAAACATATATCAAACCATTACATAGTACCCCATAAATATATACAATTGTCAATTAAAACAAAATTAAAGAGAAATAGCATCCCTTTTTCTAAATATAGAGGGATAAAATGATAAGTATAGAGACAGATATATCCTGAAGAGAGGATGTGCTTCTCTTCAAGAACTTCACAAAGTTTTTATACTACATATTATAAATTATGTGTATACATGTATATTTGTATATATGTATGCTGTGTGTAATTAAAGAAGAGTTTTTTTAATGTATAACTAGTAGCTTGAAATCACAGAAGATGGCTTGGAAAAGTTAACAAGTTAAATCAATGAGGAAAACATAGTAGTAATTCTAAGTTAGAACATTAATTTTAGTGGTCCAAATCTGCACAGAGATAAAATTTTCTCTAGCAAAGTTATGCAACACTGACATAAAAAAAATACATGATTTATCAAGAATGGAGTTTGATGTTGAAGATTAAGGGCTATAGCAGAGAAATTTGTTGAGGGAGTATAGAGCAGTGAAGAAAGCATTAAGTATCTGGAAATGTTACAAGTGAGATAAGAGTGGGGTCATACTTTGATGATATTATTCAGTGCTTAATACTGATATTACCTAGTATAAGTCACCCTGTTGGGGCATGTAAGCTAAGTCCATACATAGTGCATTCATATATGAATGTATAAGTTAAGTATTTGCAACTATATTTACAGAATAATGGTGTAATATTTTAATTATACTTTAAATATTTAACTGTTTCTAAAGTTATATTGCAAAAATATTCAAATATAATGTATTTTGATTGATTTTCCACAGTGTATTTACCATAATCTTTGAACTAGACATTTGTGTAGATGTCAGTAAAAGGTGAGGATATTTAATAGAATTCTCTGTTAAATGGGTCACAAATTATCTCTATAAATTGTTGACATTTTCAAAATTGAAGTCAAACTTAGATATCTACATAAACACAAAAATCAGTTACTCAATTAAAAGTGTATAATTTTGTACAATAATACAATAACCTACCTGTGTTAATAAAATTGGTGTAATGTTAAATACCTTAAATAGAAACATGACAATGGAGTTAGTTTTTTCAACGAATATTCTTCTAAAACAGACCTTAAATTTCCAAAATAATAAAATTATCATTTTTACATAATGAATGATGACTGAAGTCATCAGCCTGCACACAATGAATACACAGAATGTCTAAACTGTTTAATAAACAAAAGATTACAATATATTTGGGCTATGTTTACATGACATCAAATGAGGCACTTAATTTAGTTAAACTATTATTTTTGTTTGTTTGTTTTTCTTAAATTTTTATTTATTTATTTTTGGTCAAGCTGTAATTGGAGAAAAATTTGTTAAATGTCTTGATTGGTATTGTTAGTTCAAACAGGAACTCGGTAGACATAATAAATATTATTTATTAACTTTTAATTAAATATTTAATTAGCTTTTAACTTAATTGCATTTGTATTGTGAAGATACTCCTAAGAGTAATAATTAAAATCGTTTTTGTTTCTAAACAATTATTGGCCATTCTCAAAGGGTAAAACAGTCATTCATTCAGCAGTCAATCGGTTATTCAACAAATATTGTTGAGGTCCTGCAAAGTCCCAAGCATTCTTCCTGTTTTAAGGCTATAGCAGCAAGTACAGAAAGAAAAAAAAATCAAAGTCCCTGCCTTCAGGAGGCTGACATTCTAATGGGGTACAGACAAAACAAACAATATACTCACTTCTCTTCTGTAGCCAGAATTTATAACATAGACTAAATTGCTTTACTCTAAGTCTCTCAAGTATTTTCTTCTTCCTTGTATTAAAAATTTCAAAATACTATCAAAACAGTTTAACTAGGGCATAGTAGACATGTATATGTTGAAAATAACATATGTGGCAATATATTATAGACAGTAGTGATTTTCATATTTTCAGTTCTATCAATTCGAAAGTGAACCTGAAAACTTTAACACATAGCTATGTAGTCATTTGTCATTTTACGGAGATACGAATTTGAATTATAGTTAACATGAAGCTGGTGTATACTAGTGAACCTATTAGCTTATATCCTCATCTCACATGTATCATGAGAGTAAAGAGATGATAATGACAGAAAGTTATACCTAAAATTATGCCATTTGCTAATATTACTGATGAAAGTGAAGATAGTAAATAATATGTTTGCTTTTTTTGCAGAAAAAGTAAATTATTAAAACATTAAGGAGCAATATGATAAATTTGACAGTGATTTTATATATATATATATATATATATATATATATATATATATATATATATGGCTACTATTTAGTCTATAAAAACCAAGATGAAAGTGACTTACTGAACTGTCTCAAAGTATGTCTAGGCTATACACATCTGGCTATTAAAAGATAGGTTACAATTGTTGAAAATTTAATGTCACATATCATGTAGTTGAGGATATACACAGTTAATACATGATTTACAACAGAAATGGGATTTCTGAAAAGGCCTCAAAATACAATGAGTTAGATAATATAAAATATATGTTACAGAATATCTTGAAACGCTTAGAGATCCATATTTGAGCTGACAAAGAAAGTGATGAAAATCCACACAGCTACAAAAGTTTAGAAAATATAAATCTAGAAAGACAACACAGAGCTGAGCCTAGTAGTTCAGTTACTACTATTTACCTATTTCTTTCCTTTTGTTTTTTGAGATGGAGTCTCCCTCTGTTGCCCAGGCTGGAGTGAAGTGGGTTGATCTCGGCTTTCTGAAACCTCCGCCCGCCAGGTTCAAGCGATTCTCCTGCCTCAGCCTCCTGAGTAGCTGGGATCATAGGCGCCGGCCACCAAGCCCAGCTAATTTTTTTTTTTTTTTTTTTAGTAGAGATGAGATTTCATCATGTTGGCCAGGGCTGATCTCGAAATCCTGACCTCAGGTGATCCACCCTCCTTGGCCTCCCAAAATGCTAGAATTACAGGATTGAGACACCGTGCCCAGCCCTATTTGCCTATTTCTGATAGTCTGCATCCTTAGATGTTAATAGGCCGTATATACGGCAAAACAAAGATTGCCCAATATGGGAATTTGTTATTTATTTATTGGATATTGACAAGTTACAATTGTATATATTTATGGGGTGCAAAGTGATGCTACGATATATGTATACAGGGTGGAATTATTGAATCAAGCTAATTAACATATGTATCACTTCAAATACTTACCATTTTTTCTTTCTTTATAACGGAAACATTGTATCTTTGATCAGGACCCATTCATAAAGCTCAGACCTCAGTGAAATGATATACTATCTCACAGAGGAAGAAATTTAGGAAGATTGCCTGTTTCAGCCTTGGCTTTTTGTATAGGTGGAAATAAATTCTCCACTGATAATTCACAACCACACAATGGCTCTCACACAGGCTTGAGGCTAACATTTGTTTTATCTGTGTGATATAAAAAAGAAATAAAAATGAGAACTCATTTGAATGTTGTCTGGGTTTTTAGGTACATGGCAGCAGGAAAAAAATAATTATCACTATTATATAATGAGTGCTATGGTTATTTATGTTTTCATCTCTATACCCTACTAAAAGCCTTTACCAATAATGAATTCAGGGCAGGGTGAGGAAAGAATAAAGCCCTTGAGGTGAGACAAACCTGCATTCTATCACTTCAGCCAGGTATTGGAGCTGTGATATTTAGGCAGAAAACTGAAACTCTCAACCTCAGGTTCCCTTCAAAACATAAGGAGCGAGAACAATCCCTCCCTCACAGGATTTAAGTGAGGATCTGATGAATTCTAAATGCAAAGAATACAGAGGAGTACTTGTTATCAGGCAGCCTAGGAGTCCAATCACAGCTCTGACATCTGTTGTGTTAACATTGCAGATTTTTTCACCTCTGTGGGACTCGATGTTTTCAACTGTAAAGTGAAGATAATATTGTCCATATTGTAGCATTGTCACAAAATTAAATGCGATTACATATTACTTTTTTTTTTTTTTTTTTAAGACAGAGCCTTGCTGTCATCCAGGCTGGAGTGCAGTGGTGCGATGTCGGCTCACAGCAACCTCCGCCTCCCGGGTTCAAGCGATTCTCCTGCCTCAGCCTCCCGAGTAGCTGGGATTACAGGCACCTGCCACCACAGCCAGCTAATTTTTGGTATTTTTAGTAGAGATGGGGTTTCTCCATGTTGGCCAGGCTACTCTCGAGCTCCTAACCTCAGGTGATCTGCCCCCCTCGGCCTCCCAAAGTGCTGGGATTACAGATGTGAGCCACCGTGCTCGACCATATATTAAATTTTTAAAAAGTCAAAAGCGTATAAAAACTGGTGAAGTACATAATTATCATGATAGTTATCGTGATTGTAAATGGCTGAGTTATGAAACATGTAAGGAATTATATTTTAAAATATATTTTAAATAATTTATTACATTTTCTCGCAAATTTTCCTTTCATATGCATCTATCTGAAATTGTAAATTAGCAAAACAACTCTAACTCAGCTTTTACTATGAGGAACTTCAAACTACTTTATCTCTGAGAAATGACATTACAAATGAAATTTGATGGGTATTGTGTTATGAAACTTTTTTCTTAAATTCTCATACAGTTAAATATTATATCCATCTAATATATTAAGGTATTATTGAGTAACAGAAAATAATGAAGTTTAGAATTTGAAGTTTCCTTTCCTTTTTTTTTTGTTTTGTTTTGAGATGAGTCTCACTCTATGGCCCTGGCTGGAGTGAAGTGGCGCGATCTTGGCTCACTGCAACCTCCGCCTCCTGGGTTCAAGGGATTCTCCTGCCTCAGCCTCCTTCCTAGCTAGGACTACAGGCGCAAGTCACCACACCCAGCCAATTTTTGTATTTTTAGTAGAGACAGGGTTTCACCATGTCGGCCAGGCTGGTCTTAAACTCCTGACCTGAAGTGATCTGCCCGCCTGGGCCTCCCAAAGTGCTAGGATTACAGGCGTGAGCCACCCCACCCGGCCTGAAATTTTCTTACAAAAATAAAATATATTTCAAATACTAAACTTGATAGAAGGTTTTACTTTTTAAAATAAACTTAAAATACAGAATACAATACATAAACACTAAGAAATTCAATGTTTTCTTGCAAACAGAACATGAGAAAAACTAAGATGTATTTTGAAAAGGCAACTTTTACTTATATGTTACTAAGATTGGATCTTGTTTTAACTGCTAATTCCTCCTGACACAGGTGACTGTTAAATAAATTATAAAAATTATTCATTATTTGCGTGGGAGTGGGACAGGGAAAAACATCACTCAATAATAAAATAATTTTTGGCTCTCAAGGGTTCAGAGTATGCGGAGGTTTATGCTTTGCAAGATTTTATTTTATTCTATCTGAAATAAGACATTTGAATAGAAAATTGATAATCATAAATTTATTGGCTGGACCACTGGATAAGTTTGACAACTTTTGATCAAAACTAATTAAAATGAAAACCAGTGATGCACATATTGTGGAACGACTTTCCCTAGATGAATAAGGAGCTACTTAAAAACACAGTTCATTAATTACTGCTGATCCCGTTGTGTACTGAAAGAAAAAATGTATGATGTGTCTGTTACTCTCTTCCTTTGCTAGGAAGCTCATGAGCTGCCCACCTGTTTACTAGAAGAATATAATTAATATGAAAGAAAGTGTTTCATTTTAGATGCACAGAAAGCAAATCATATATTTAAAATGTAACCTTCACATATGTAGGTTCCTTCATATACAATGCACATATGTATAAAATATATAAGGGGATTACATATTTCTACATATATTATATAGGAAGGAATAAAATTCCTGAAAAAAAATAAGCTTGACCTAAAAGAAACAAGAAAAGTTAAGGACTCCACAAAGAAGTACCATCTACGCTGTATTCAGGTTATTGGTAACTTCATTAACTGTATATTTCATAAAAACTTTACGGACTAAGTAGATTAGAGGTTTAGTGTTTAATCATGAAAAAAAGTTTTCGTTTTTTAGCGTTTTTTTTTTTTATGGAAGGTGAACTATATTGCATTTTTGTCATGCATTCAAACTCTTTAGGCATTTTTTTTTTTTTTTTTTTTTGAGATGGAGTCTCGCTCTGTCTCCCAGGCTGGAGTGAGGTGGTGCCATCTCGGCTCACTGCAAGCTCCGCCTCCCGGGTTCAAGCGATTCTTCTGCCTCAGCCTCCCAAGTAGCTGGGACTACAGGTGCCCACCACCAAGCCCGGCTAACTTTTTGTATTTTTTGTAGACACGGGGTTTCACCACGTTAGCCAGGATGGTCTCAATCTCCTGACCTCATGATCCGCCTGCCTCAGCCTCCCAAAGTGCTGGGATTACAGGCGTGAGCCACCGCGCCCGGCCTCTTTAGGCATTATTAATAGGAAAAAAAATACAACATAGGTCCAGCAATTGCTGTTTATATGCTACAACAAAATATAATGCGTTTGTAATATAAAGATGTCCTATGTAAGCTTTGCATGTGAGGATTAAGTATTTTAAAACTAAACATTCAGACTAGAAAAGTAAAATCCAAGAGTTTCTCAAGAGTTGTTGAAGTAATCTGATAAAACTCACTAAAATATAATAACACTTGCTGAATCTGAAGCACAAGCAGGTCAAGTAATTTATGTTTGACTACAGGCTATATTGGGAAGAAATATATGCTAATTTTTAGTCGAGCATTGTTTGCTTTCATGCACTTATGTGTGAGAATGGCCTTCACAAAGCTTCATGTGGAAGTTAATAGCGAGATGAAAAGGAAATTCTGCCCCCCAAAAACTCTAGTAAGAATAGTGATTACACTGAGATTGAAATCATTTTTCCATTTATTTTATAGAAACTTATAATTAAGCTACATTCTGACTACATATATTCATATATTTATCTAGACTACCACATTCTTATTACGAAATCAAATTATAGAAACTTCTGTGAATTGCGATGAATTATAAACATCCCCAATTATCATAACTGCTGTACATAAGTAACTCTAATTTTAAACTAAGAAAAAATCAAATCAGTATGAGTAACCAGTAGAGTAACAATTAAGGAAATTCTTTGCTCAAAACATAGAGCCAAAAGTCATTTTATCAATAGAGTGATTTCTAGATGGAATTGCACTAGGATAATTAAGAGTACATGCAATTGTGCAAATGCATTCTATGGGGTCTTAGCATGATCAAAGCTACTGTCAAACTGTTACACAAATCCTGTCTAAGTATCTCACATTATTCTCTGTATAAGGTGATTCCATCCTCGAGTAACCAAGGAACAGTAGTATCTCACTGATAAATAAAACTCCATTTAGATACATGTTACTATTAAAATGCCTTATCAGGTTTCTGGCTTCTGGAGTGGCATATAGACAGCTAGAAGGAGCATGACATAATCCCTTAAAACAAAAAGTAGGCCGGGCGCAGTGGATCATGCCCGTAATCCCAGCACTTTGGGAGGCCAAGGCAGGTGGATCACAAGGTCAAGAGATCGAGATCATCCTGGCTAACATGGTGAAACCCTGTCTCTACTAAAAATACAAAAAATTAGCTGGGCGTGGTGGCGGGCACCTGTAGTCCCAGCTACTCAGGAGGCTGAGACAGGAGAATGGCCTGAACCCGGGAGGCGGAGCTTGCAGTGAGCCGAGATCGCGCCACTGCACTCCAGCCTGGGTGACAGAGCGAGACTCCGTCTCAAAATAATAATAACAAAATAAAATAAAATAAAATAAAATAAAATAAAATAAATAAAAAGTAGAATAAGTTCAAATTACATACTATATTTTCAAATACATTGGAAAGCAAGGGTTGCAGAGTAAACAACTGAGCCTGTATCTAATGAAGGAGAGTGCCTGTTGGGAAGGAGAAATGGTGAACAAATATACACTTCCATAGATGCTACAGGACACATATAAGAAGACTCAGATAGAATGGCTGGTGTAGTGAAATGAATGGTGGACTCCCCACCAAATATGCCTACATGCTAACTCCTAGAACGTGTGAATATGAATTTACTTGGAGAAAGAATCTTTGCCGATGTTTTTAAGTATCACGAGATGCTGTCAACTTGTATTATCATGGTGGGCTCTTAATCCAATGGCAGGTGTCATTATAAGAGACACCTAGACAAACACAGAAAAAAAGCAGAAGGACATGTGAAGAAGGAAGCAGAGATTGGAGTTACATGCTTACAGGCTAAGGAATGCCTAGAGCCATCAGAAGCTGAAAGAGGAAATGAAGAATTTTCCCTACAGGCTTTGCAGGGAGCATGGCCCTGTCAATAACTTGATTTTAGACTCCAAAACTGTAAGAGAACAAATTTGATACTTTTAGCCACCTAGTTTGTGATAATTTATTACAGCAGGCTTAGAAACCTAATACAGATTTTGGCACTTGAAGTCAGATGCTGCTATAACATATCTAAAAATGCTGAAGTGGCTTGAAAATTGGATAATGTGCAGAGGGTGGAAGAATTTTGAGAGGTATAAAAAAATCCTGGATTGCCTTAATGAGACTATTGGTAGAAATATAAACTTGAAAGGCACTGCTGGGGAAGGCCCATGAGAGAAAGAGGAGCACGGTAGAGAAAGCTCATAGAGGATACATATATAATCATAAACAAAAAATAGGTAGAAATAGGAATGCTAAAGATGCTTCTAGTGAGATTTTATAAGGAAATGAGGAAGATGTTATTAGAAATTGTAGGAAAGTCACTCTTTATTATAAAGAGGCAGAAAAATTACCTGGATTGTTTACTTCTGTTAAATGGAATGCAGTACTTGTAAGCAATGACCACGGATATTTAGCTGAGGAGATTTCAGGCATAGTCTTGAAGATGCAGCATGCTTTCTCCTTGGTGCTTCTAGCAAAATGTGGGAAGAAAGAGATAAATTGAAGAAAAAACTATTACGCTACAAGGAACATAAACTTGATAATTTAAAAGATTATCGGCTTATCAGAATTGCAAATGATGCTAAGATTATAAAATTCACTTTTGGGAAAGCATGCTCCAGAGAGAAAACCAAAACTAATGCTGAATAGATCAGATTTGTTAATCGTAGATTCATTCAACCATCTTAGAAGAAGCTAATAATAGAGATGAAGCTATCCAGGAAAGTCGTGTGGAAAACCCTTTTGTCTACTGGCAAGGAACCGCATGACATAAATCAGAAGATGCACAGGTTTTTAAGAATGTTGTATCCGCAGAAGCATTGTCAACTTGAATTTAATGGGACAGAGATAGAGCAAAATGAGAGACAGCTGGAGGCATGGACACAAAGGCAGAATTAGATTGTGCCACTGTGGGTGCAGAGGCAGAGGCTGATAGAATTGGCCTGGGAGTAGATTTAAAAAATGGCAGAAGCCAAAAGAACCACAGCACGCCATTCAGAGATGTGGAGCCATTGATTTCACTGTGAACTGAAATGACAGAGCATCCACTCACAAAAGATTATTCTCAGACCTTGAAACTAATAAAATTTGTCCTGCTGAATATAAAATTTGATTGGGACAATTGGCCTCTTTGTTTCTTCCATTTTCTTCCTTTTGGAATGTGAATGTGTATTCTCTGCCTGTCCCACCATTGTTTTGGGGAAAGATATAACTTGTATTTTAGTTTCCACCAAAGGAGAAAAAATTTGCCCCAGGATGGATCATATGGAGAGCTTCATCCATACCTGATTTAGATGATTTACACGATAAGATTTGGGACTTTTAAACTGATTTTATTTAGATGAGATTTTAGATTTAAAGTTGATGTCCTAATAGATTAAGATGTTAGAGAATTTGGAATATGGTGAATGTATTTTGCATGTGGGAGGGACATAAAATTTGGAGGCCAGAGAGCAGATTGTAGTAGGTTGAATTGTGAACCCAGTAAGATATGTCTATATCTCAACCATACGAACCTGTAAATGTGACTTTATTTGGGAAAAAGGTCTTTGCAAATGTAATTGAGTTAAGGACACAGGGAGATCAGGGAGACAGAGGAAAAAGCTATATGAAGAAAAAAAGCATAGACTGGCGTAATGCAGTTGCAAACAAAGAAATACCTGGACTCACCAGCATCTTGAAGAGGCAAGGGAGGATTCTCCCCGAGAGCCTTTGTAAGGAGCATGGCAGTACGAAAACTAGATATTTTTACTTCTGGCCTACCTCCAGCACTGTACCACCTTGTAGCAGGCCTAGGAAACTAGTACAGTTGATAAACTGTCAAAGGTTAGCTAGTGCTTGCTGGTGGGACAGTGTGAAAATTCTGGAGGTATGATAGTTAATTTTATATCTATATGGCTAGGCCATAATACCAAGATATTTAGTCAAACATTGGTCTGCATGTTGCTGTGAAGATATTTTGTAGAAAAAAATTAACATTTAAATCAGCAAACTTTTAAGCAGATCACCTTTTGCAGTGTAAGTGAGCCACATCTTATCACTTGAAGGCCTTAGGAAAAAAAAAAAAAAGACCGACTCTTCTAAGAAAGAGAAAATTCTGTCTGTAGATCGCTTTCAGATTTTAACTTAAATGTCAACTCCTTCCTTGGTCTCCAGATTGCTGGCTTACACTGCCAATTTTGGGCTTGCCAGACTCCACAACTGCATGAGCCATTTCCTTAAAATGAATCTCTCTATATTCACATACATGCCCTATCATTTCTGTTTTTCTGGAGAAAACTGTGTGATAAAGGTGGTCATGTACACTTTGGGGAGCATGCATCATTTTCAATGCTCTTTTTCTTTTAACTAACCTACCAAGTCTTCACAGAAACCACTAGAAAGATTCCTAGGAAATATCCATTGTTGTGGAAATCTGTGAAAGAACAGAAAAGATACCAAGAAACTCTGGAAGGTTCCTTCCTCTTTATCAGTAGTATGGAAAAATAAATTCTTATTCTGTGGGGAACAGGGCAACACTGCTGGTCTTAGTGCATTTGAAAACATTCATTGCCACTAGAAGGAAATATCCTAGGGCATTGGGGAAGACACTAGTTCTTGGGAAAAGAAAGAATTACACTGCAAGGTTCCAGGGTCACAACTGCAATCACAGAGGAGCAGGGGAACCAAAAAGGTTACTACATTAGTTCTCCATGGATACTGTAACAAATCACCACAAACTTTGTGACCTAAAATAATATACTGTGACTTAAAATAATATATATTCCTTGTTTTGTCATGCTTTTAAAGCCCAGGAAAGGCCTAGGCAATACTCTTGGTGGGCTTTTGTTACATCCCAGCCTTTGTATAAGGGCACTGGCTTTTAATATTTAACTTAACCACTCAGCCAGCACTGAAACAGTTGTTATGGAGGCCTACGATAGTGAGACCTGGCCTGCCACAGTCACATTGCTTTCTCTTCTCTGCGTCAAATTTTCCTCTGCTTCTGTCTTATCAGAATGATATGATTAAAGGCCCATCAGGATAATTAAAAATAATTTCTCCATCTCAAGGTCTTAACTAATGGCATCTGCAAAGGTCCTTTTCCACATACCATGTCCCAGCGACTAGGACCTGCTATTGATGGAGCCATTATTGGCCTACTTACAGCCACTCTTGAAAGTCAAGGACACAATTATATCTAAGACTAAACTACAATAAAAACAAAAGATGTTATACCCACATATAATCTACAAAATCCTAGGAGAAATAAAGACATGCTCATTTTCAGACATTATTTACTCAAATGGGACAAAGATATTAGAACTGGCTGGATGCAGTGGCTCACGCCTGTAATCCCAGCACTTTGGGAGGCCGAGGTGCGTGGATCACGAGGTCAGGAGATTGAGACCATCCTGGCTAACACGGTGAAAACCCGTCTCTACTAAAAATACAAAAAATTAGCCAGGCATGGTGTCAGGCTCCTGTAGTCCCATCTACTCGGGAGGCTGAGGCAAGGGAATGGTGTGAACCCGGGAGGCGGAGCTTGCAGTGGGCAGAGACCGTGCGCCACTGCACTCCAGCCTGGGTGACAGAGCGAGACTCCGTCTCAAAAAAAAAAAAAAAAAAAAAAAAAAAAAGATATTAGAACTATTCCGTAAGGAATTTGTAATTACTATAATTAGTGTCATAAAAGCTCTCACAGAAAATGTAGATAATGAGAGATGATGAGTACGTTTAGTAGAGAGATAAAAAATACTGGAAATAATATAATGGAAATGCTAGAAATGAAATAATAATAATAAAGATGAAGAATGCCATAGAAATGCTCAAGTGAAATCAACACAGATGCGAAAATCAGTTTTCTTTAGTATAGTTTAGTAGAAATTGTCTAAAACGAAACATAAAGAGAAAAAAGAGTTGGGAAAGAAAGAATAGAACATCCAGAGCTATAGAATAATGTCAAATGTTCTAACATACGCATAACTGGAAACCCAGAAGAATAAAGAGTTAACATGATAGAAGAAATACATGATAAAGTAGCAGCCAACATTTTGTAAAATTAAGGTTACAGTAAATGAATTATATACTAAATAACACAAATTCTATACCACCTCTACCAGAAATTAGAAGAGGATGGAACACTTCCTAATGCGTTTTATGATACCAGCCTTAAACTAATATCAAAGAGAGACAAAGGTATTACAAAAAAGAATAATATGGATGAATATTCCTCATGAGCAAAGAAGCAAACACACTCACCAAAATATTAACCATTGAAGTCTGGCTCCATACATATATATAATGTGTCTATATTCACTTTGTTCCAGTGTTATGACAATCAAAAATCAATCAATGCAATGTATCGTATTCATAGACCAAATAAGAAAAAATGATAAATTAAATAGATATTTAAAAAAAACCTTTACTGGCCAGGTGCAGTGGCTCACATCTGTAATCCCAGCATTTTGAAAGGCCAGGGCGGGTGGATCACCTGAGTTTGGGAGTTCGCAACCAGCCTGACCAACATGGACAAACCCCGTCTCTACTAAAAATATAAAATTAGCTGGGCATGGTGGTGCATGCCTGTAATCCCAGCTACTCAGGAGGCTGAGCCAGGAGGATTGCTTGAACCTGGGAGGCGGAGGTTGCAGTGAGCCGAGATCACGCCATTACACTCTACCCTGGGCAAGAAGAGTGAAACTCTGTTAAAACAAACAAACAAACAAAAAACCTTTGCTAAAAGTGACCATTTATGAATTGAAAAATAAGTCTTAACAAACTAGGAACATAAGATAAATTATTTAACTTACTAGAGGGCATCTAAAAAATACCTAATTAATGTAATACAGAATGGTGGAGTATTTAATGCTTTCTCTTCAAGATTAAGAAAAAGGCAAGAATGTCCTTAACTATGGATGTTCTTAACTATAATGATCCTATGTATCATTATACTGAAAGCACTCAGTAGCTCAATAAGGCAAGAAAAACAATGAAAAATATATATTAAGAAGAAATACAACTATCTATGTTCACAGAAAACAATATTATAGCCATCCTGAAAGAATATACAAAACTAATTAGCTCTTGGAAGTAATTAGTGAATTTAGCAAAGTGAAAGGGCACAAGGTCTACACACAAAAATATTATCCACTTTTTAAAATATACTTTTGTTTCTGTTGACCATTTCCCTACTTCACTTATCCATTTGTGAAAAATGTTATGTAGATTTATTACTTGAAGACAAGAAAACAATATGACTACAAATGTTATTATCTATACAATACATAATAGACAAGCAATGATCAACCACCCACAAACTCTGAAGAAAATTATGTGATTGGCTCCTGATGCTGATGCATGTGGTAGGTAGAAATTGGCCAAGATACCTATATCCTAATCACTGAAACCTATGAATGTTATCTTATATGGCAAAGGAACTTGGCAAATGTGATTAAGATTAAAATCCTTGGAATGAAGAGATTATCCTGGATTATCCCAATGGACCCAATCTAGTCACATACACCCTTAAACCAAAAATAGACAAAACAAACAAGCAAACAAAAAAACAAGAAACCAAAAAATTCATGACTGAAAGCAGAAGAGGCATGTGATAGAATGAGAGGTCAGCAGAGAAAAATCAAAGCATGAGAAGGACTCCACCAATTATTGATGACTTTGGAGGCAGAGGAAAAGGATCACAAACCAAAGACTTTGTGAGTCCTTTGGAAATTGAGACTGACTTTCAGCCAATAGCCGGCAAGGAAATCACAGTCCTACAACAGCATGGAGCTTTGCAATAATCTAAATAACTTCGGAAGGAGACTCTTCCCCATGGCTTCCAGAAAGGGGCTGTGTTCCCAGTCTATGGTATTTTGTATGATAGTCCTAGCAGACTAATACACATGGTAACTAAAAGTCATGTATATAAAAGCAATACAAAAGAGGGCTGCCTGTACTTGAAGTTTTGGTACTGTAGTTTCTTTTAATTTTTTATTTTTTTATTATATTTTTATTTTTTGTCCTTCAAATGGAGACAATAAGTGTCTTTCTTAGAAGAGCTCCGGATATAAAATAAGCATCAGATAAGCATTATTTATTACTGTTGCTGTTGTGTACAGTGATCACTAATGCTAAAACTCCTCATCCTACCTCTTTTTTCCTCCTATTTTAACTTGGATGCAATTTACTTCATTTTCTTGACTAATTGTTCTGACTAAAAATGCCAATACTATGTTGGATACATGTGGTAGAAGCAGGTAGCCTTATATTTTCCTTGATCTTAGAGGAAAAACATTTGGTCTTTTATCATTGAATAAAACGCTGGTTGTAGGTTTTTCATAAGTGGACTTCATTATATTGAGGTAGCTGCTTTCTGTTCCTAGTTTAAGTGCTTTTTAAATTATAAAGCATTGTTGATTTTTTCAAATATTTTTCTGCATAATTTTACAAAACTTAACATTCTTTCATGATGATAACTCGAACCAAATTAAGAATAGAAGGAATGTACATCAACACAACAATGGCTGTATATGAGAATCTCATAGCTAATATTATATTCAATGGTGAAAAATTGAAAGCTTTTTCTCTAAAATCTGGAAAAAATGCAAGGATGTCCACTCTCAGCATTTTTATTCAATATTATATTGGAAGTCCTTGCCAGAGCAATTTAGGCAAGAGAAATAAATAAAAGCCATCCAAATAGGAAAGAGACAAGAGAAATTGTCCTGTTTGATGAAAACGTGATCTTATATACAGAAAACCCTACAGATTCCATAAAAAACAATTAGAACTCATAAATAAATACAGTATATTTGCAAGAAAAAAATCAACATACAGAAATTAGTAGCATTTCTATGCACTAACGATGAACTATTCAAAAAAAAATCAAGCACAATTTCATTTACAATAGCTACAAAAATAAATAAAATACATAGAAATAAATTTAACCAAGGAGATAAAAGACCTGTGTGATGAAAACTATAGAATGTTCATGGAAGATATTGAAGAAGATGCAAATAACTGGAAAGATATTAGAACTTCATGGATTGAAAGAATTAGCATTGTTACCATGTCCCTACTATGCAGAGCAATCTACAAATTCAATGCAATCTCTATTAAAATTCCTGTGTCAAATTTCAGGGAAATAGAAAAAATTTCTAAAATTTATAAGGAACCACAAAAATTCTGAAAAGGCAATATGGATCAAAAAGTACAAAACTGAAGACAGCAATCTACCTGATTTCAAACTATACTACAAAGCTATAGTAATTAAAAGAGCATGGTACTGGAGAAAACTAGACACATCAACCAACCAATGGACTAGAATAGAGAGCTGAGAAATGAACCTGTGCATATATAGCCAGTTGTTTTTCCACAAAGGGACTGAGAATACACAATGGGAAAAGGATAGTCTCTTTAATATATGGTGTTGAGGAAACTGGATATCTACATTCAGAATAATAAAATTGGACCCTTTTCTCACATCATATACAAGAACTCAACTCAAAATAGATTAAAGACTTAAACATAAAATCAGAAACTATAAAAGCACTAGAAGAAAACAGGGGAAAAACTACACAACATTGGTTTGTGTAATGATTTTTTGGATTTTACCTCAAAAGTTCAGGTAACAAAAGCAAGAATATATACATGAGATTACAACAAACTAAAAATCTTCTTGACTGTAAAGAAAACAATTAGCAGTGTAAATAGGTTGGCAGAAAATATTTACAAGCCATACTGCAAAGAAAACAATTAGCAGTGTAAATAGATTGGCAGAAAATATTTACAAGCCATACATCTGATAAGGGTGGTTAATATACAAAATGCATAAAGAATTAAAACAACTCAACAACAAAAAATTCAAATAACCCATTTAAAAAAATGAGCAAGGGCTCTGAATAGACATTTCTCTTTTTTAAATTTTATTTTTTATTGATACACAATAGATGTACATAGCTTTGGGGTATATGTAATAATTTATTACATTTGTATAATTTGTAAATATCAAATAAGTGTTGGGATATTCATAACTTTAAATATTTGTCTTTTATTTATGTTAGAAACATTTAAATTCTTCTAATTATTTTGAACTATACATACGACCCTACTCATCTATCAAACACTAGGTCTTATTTTTTTATATCAAACCATACATTTATACCCATTAATCGACCTCTCTTTACCTTCCCAGCCTTCCTGGCCTCTGGTAATCACCAACCTACTCTCTATCTTCATGAGATTCACATTTTTAGCTCACATATATGGATGAGGACAAAAAATATTTGCTTTTTTTGTGCTTGGCTTATTTCACCTAACATAATGACCTCCAGTTCCATCCATATTGCTGCAAATGACAGAAAGTTTTATATGGCCCATAGGTATGTGAGAATGCTCAACATTGCTAATAGTTTGAGAATATAAATTAAAGCCACAATGAGGTATCATCTCACCCCTGTCCAAATTGCTAGGATCAAAAAGGTGAAAGATAAGAGTTGGCAAGCATGGGGAGAAAAGGAAACACTTGTGCACTGTTGGTATGAATGAGTCTTAGTCCATTTTGTGTTGCTATAAAGAAATACTTGAGACCATAAAATACATTTAAAAAGGTTTATTTGGCTTGTGCTTCTGATGATTGGAAAACTTCAAGATTGGGCATCCGTACCTGGTAAGAACCTCAGGTTTCCTCCACCCATGGCAAAAAGTGAAGGGGATTTGGCTTGTACAGACATGACATGATGAGAGGAAACAAGAGAGAAAGTAAGGAGGTGTCAAGCTCTTCTTAACAACCGGTTCTGGTAGGAATTAACTGAATGAGAACTCAATTACCCCCAAGGGAGTCCATTAACCTATTCATAAAGAATCCATCTCCAGGAGCCAAACACCTGCCATTAGGCTACCTTCAATATTGGAGATTCAATTTCAACATAAGATTTTGAGGGAACAAACATCCAAACCATAGCAGAATGTAAACTAATACAGCCAGTATGGAAAATGAAGGTTCCCCACAAAACAAAATATGATCTAGTAATCCTACTTCTTAGTATGTAACCAAAAGATTTGAAATCAGTTTATCAAAAAGATGCGTGCAATTCCATATTCATTGAGGCACTAGTCACAGTAGGCAAGATATAGATATGAACTAAGCAACCATCAACAGATGTATGAATATAGAATATGTGGTACACATATACAATGAAACAGTATTCTATCTTAACAAAAAGGACATTCTGTTATTTGTGACAACATGGATAGGATTAAAGACCACTATGTAAATGAGGCGCAGAAAGATAATTACTACATATTCTTATTTATATGTAGATTGTGAAAGGAAAATATCATGGACCGCTTCAAGCTGGGAACTGCTCAGGGCCAATCTTTCTCCCATTCTATTCAAAATCATCCCTCTGCTCACAGAGATAGTTGCATATTCTGATTGCCTCCTTTGGAAAGTCTTATCAGAAACTCAAAATAATGCAACCATCTGTCTCTCACCTACCTGTGATCTGGAAGCTCCCAGTGGGGAGGCCTTGCTTTGAGTTGTCACACCTTTCTGGATGAAACTAATGTAATTATTTCATATATTTATTGATGTCTCATGCCTCCCTAAAATGTCTAAAACCAAGCAGTGCCTTGACCACTTTGCGCACATGTCATCAGGACTTCCTGAGGCTGCGTCACAAATGCATCCTCAACCTTAGCAAAATAAACTTTCTAAATAAACTGAGACCTGCCTCAAATTTTCGGGTTCACACTTTTGTAACCATGGGGAGATTCTGAGTGGAAATGCCCCTGAACTTTGACAAATCTCCTATCAGGGCTTGGTACCAGCATGAGCTAACTTCATGGCTCAAACCAATAGGACAATTTGCTGAGAGCACCCCCTTCCAGAGAAACTCTGATCTCCCAAAATTTGGTTGAGATCTAAAGTTTCTTTTGCCATACAACTCCTCTTATGTATTTATTTATTTATTTTTTTCTGGAGTTTTACTTGCTTCCAACACAATGAAGGCAAGTCAGGTAACTACTTTACGGAGTTTGAGCTTGCTTCCAACAGTGGAGTTTTTGTTGTTGTTTTTTTTGTCTGTTTTGTTTTGTTTTGTTTTCCTGCTTCTAGGATGGTAGAGAACAGCCTAAAGCCTGAGACCCATCACCAGGTAAGAAACTGGTTTGGGATTCTGTCTTGCAAATTCTTTTTAAACAACTAAAGTTAGCATTAACAACCAGCTGATGTTAATTTCTATTTACACTTAGAGCGCTCAGAAGTTGTATAATTTGTGTGATCATTTTAAGTTTAGCAGCATAAATTTAAAAAGATTTTGTTGTTGTTCTTAAAGGAGCTCAATGGTTAAAAGTCAGCTTAATTGAAAGGCTAACATCCAAGATGTGTGTGTGTGTACGTATGCATGTTTTTGTATTTAAAAGGCCTTCATGTTTTTGTTGTCTTTTTTTTCTCTCCCAAGACCTTGTCTTGTTTTTGAGCAAAAGTTTTTTTTTTCTTCTCAGTTGACTGAATTCTGTTTTCACCTGATTTTTTGACCTAAATAGTTATTGCAACAGAGGATACTCTTGGGCTTTTAAGGAAGAATGTAGTTTAGACACTCAGAAATGTCTTCGTTAAAAAAAAAAAAAATAAGTGCAGTGTAAAAGCATCTCCCTCTAGCACCAGCAGGCTTTTTCTCTCTGTACTTTAGGATGTAAATTTTGCTATTTGATTTTCACCTGAGTTGTTTCTTTTAATATGCAAATTAAGGTTATTTAGCTGACAACTGCAGAGTTGTAAAACAGGTTATCAAGAATCTGAAAATGTCAGACAGTAAAAAAAACGGGGAGGGGGGGTCCTTATAAATCTATACAATGTACTTCCTTGGGCATGCCTAATCTATGTATTTGTGTTGTGTACACAATGTTTCACTACTAAAAATATGTAACAGAGCTTTAATTAATTGGCTTAAAGAAAAATAAAAGCGCTTAAATCAGATTCTAAAAAAGAAAAGACTAGTTAAATCCTTTTTCAAGTTTATGTAACTTAAGTGAAATCTTTAATAAATAAGCTAGCTTTGAAGTTATTGCCGGGCGCGGTGGCTCATGCCTGTAATCTCAGCACTTTGGGTGGCCAACACAGGCAGATCACCCTGGGTCAGGAGTTGGAGACCAGCCTGGCCAACATGGTGAAACCCTGTCTCTACTAAGAATACAAAGATTAGCCGGGCATGATGGTGGGTGCCTGTAATCCCAGCTAGTCAGGAAGCTGAGGCAGGAGAATTGCTTGAACCCGGGAGGCAGAGGTTGTAGTGAGCTGAGATCACACCATTGCACTCCAGCCTGGGTGACAGAGGAAGACTCCATCTCAAAATAAATAAATAAATAAATAAAATAAAATAAAATAAAATAAAAATTATTGGTAAAGTAATATTCACAATATCTTAAGAATTGCCAGCATACACTTTGGTTTGCATTTATTAATGAAGCAATTTCATACTTATCCCTGCCAAATACTATAAGGTGTCAATATTTGACACAAGGGTTACAAAACTATAAACCCAGCCCTAAAAAGAATGATCTTTGCTCGTGTAATTTTTAATAAAAAAGACATTGATATGGGTTTAATGAAAATAGCTGGATCTAGAATTTATTAAGATTACCATCACTTCTAATCCTGTAGTTTTAGGCAGTTTAGTCCACAGACAGTAAGGTTTGTTTTGGGAAAGGACTGTTACTGTCTTTGTTTCAAAACTAAAGTATAAACTAAGTTCCTTCCAAAGTTAGTTCCGCCTATGCCCAGGAATGAACTAGGACAGCTTGGAGGTTAAGAGCAAGAAGAAATCAATTAGGTCAAATTTTTCTCTTACTGGCTCAGTTATAATTTTACAATGGCAGTTTAATAACTTAAATTCATGACTATCACAGTTTTCATAAATAATCTAGTGAACAATTAAAATAAAATAATTAGGTAAATGTAATATGACAAATACTTGTGGACAAACTGGATATAATTTAGAATATAAAGTTATATTAATTAAATAATAAATATTTCATTATTTGGATATTTTCCAATAAATATATATTGTAGGAAGAAATTCTTGCTAAAAATAAAAAAAGAGAGAAGTGTGTCCTTTTAAAAGAAAGGTAAAAAACTTTTGTCTAATTCAAAGCTTATTTAAAGGTTATGTATAAAACAAGGTAAAAGGAACCAGGAAATTAAAAAAAATGTTATGAACATTATTGAAATAGATTATTTTTTTGAGATAAAAAAGCTTAAAGAGAAATAATTTTTATATAAGAAAAAAATTTGTATGGCAAATTTAGCCCTCAAATAACTGGTTGTATTATTATTAAGTTTTGGTTTGCTTAGGAAAAAAAAATGAGATAATTTTTTTTTTTTTTTTTGATACTGAGTCTCGTTCTATTGCCGAGGCTGGAGTGCAGTGGCAGGATCTCCGCTCACTGCAACCTCTGCCTCCCGGGTTCAAGTGATTCACGTGCTTCAGCCTCCCAAGTAGCTGGGAGTATAGGTGAATGCCACCAGGCCCGGCTAATTTTTGTATTTTTAGTAGAGATGGAGTTTTACCATGTTGGCCAGGCTGGTCTTGAACTCCTGACCTCAAGTGATCCACCCACCTTGGCCTGCCAAAGGGCTGGGATTACAGGTGTGAGCTACTAGGCCCGGCCCAATAATTTTCTTTATCAATTAAAATTATTACATCCATGTATCTTCTGTATGTGCCTTTAAAGTCCTTGTAACATTGAGTTACAGGGCTTTAACTCCGGGGTCTAAAAAGGACATCAAGTCCTGCTAAATCTTAAACACTGACAACAATTAAAGCCTCTTCCTCAGGCCCCATAGAAGATGCCAATCAAAATAAACTGCATCCCTGAGACACAGGGCAAGAAATTAAAGCTATTCCATTCTTCAAGGCCCAGGGACTATCGCGCAAGAGGTGGTTGTGTAAGATTGCAAGGCCCATTTTGAAAGATAAAATAAATTCAGTTTCTCTATAAGTTAATTATTAGTGTCAAACGCACATTGATGCAAAACCAATATATGGCCCCTTGTGTCAGATTAACAAGGTTTTCTTGAAGCATTAACCAACTTCTTTATAAAGGTTATAAAGGTTATAAAAGGCTTATGGAAGTTATATTTTATAATGAAGATTAAATTTTATAGATTGTTTACAAAATTAAAAAAATGTAATTGACTTCATGCTGTTTCTATTAGGGATCCTTGTTTAGAAAATTAAGTCTCCTCTCTCAAAGAATGAAAGTTTTTGCTTTTTTTTTGAAATCCTTGAATTATCACTTTGGTTAAATAAATAACTTTGCAATGACCTGTAATCCTATTTTGTAATATCGAGTGTTTTAAAGCTTTTGTATCTGACACACTTTCCAAAATCAAATTATAAATTATGTATTTTTCTAACCTAATTAATCTTTTAAGACATTAGGTTTCCTAGTCCAAAAAATGATGTAATTTGGCTTATTAGGTATAAAAATTATACAGAAAGCATTGTCAGATATGAAATGGTGATCTTCTTTGGCCTGTATTTGTATAAATATGTTATTGGTATGTTTTCCACAATTATGGGAAACTCCTGTAATTCTGATATAACTTAGTGTATATTATCAGGAATAATCAAAATTGTTATGTTAAAATTATTGCGTGCCACAGAGGTAAAACATTTCCTTGTCAATTGTGTCTTTTGAGTATGGCTGCCTTAAAACTTTTTTTTATCCATAGACAATTGTTGTCTTGTTTTGGTCCTCTTTAGAAGGTGGCTTTATAATTAGCTAGAAAACTCCAGCAGGTGCTCTTAAATGCAGGTTTCTGATAACTTTGGAAATTATGACATCAGAATAGAGAAAAATATTTCAGGATTCATAGAGAGGTAAAATGTTCATGAGTATCAGGCGGAACAGGAATTAACTGACTGCATGGACTGAACCAATTGTTTTGACTTTTTGCTTAAAATGTTTGCTGATTGTTTTCTTTTTCAGAGTCTTAAAACTTTCTTTTTTTTAAGCTATTGACAGCTTTTAACAATTTAGTATAATCCTATCAACAAAATTTGGAGCATATTTGTTTCTCTCTACCTGCTTTTCCAGAATTTGGAAACTATCTGTGAGAATTCTTAACTTATGGCAATACAGTTATTTGAATAAGTGCAATAAGAATCTGTTTTCATTCATAACAGGAAACAACTGGAGAAACTGGTTATTTTACCAAGGCTTTGGAATAGTGTGCTTTCCTTTAAGGAATCAAACGACTTATGGAGCCAATAAAAGCCCTTGGAAAACTGGCCTCACATTTTGTGTACACAGTCTCTGTACAGGGTTTCTGACCTGTGGTAAGTAAAGAATGTCACTTTCTGACAAGCACAGAAGCCTCAGATTTATCCTGGAACCTCAAGAAGAGAGGAAATTCACCCAAATCATAGGTATTTGATGGCACAAATCAATGACTGGGCTCAGCTTTAAAAAAGTATTATCTGGGCCAGGCGCGGTGGCTCACACTTGTAATCCCAGCACTTTGGGAGGCTGAGGCGGACGGATCATAAGGTCAGCAGATCGAGACCATCCTGGCGCACATGGTAAAACTCTGACTCTACTAAAAATACAACAAATTAGCTGGGCATGGTGGCAGGCGCCTATAGTCCCAGCTACTTGGGAGGCTGAGGCAAGAGAATCATTCGGACCCGGGAGGCGGAGGTTACAGTGAGCTGACATGGAGCCACAGCACTCCAGCCTGGGCAACAGAACGAGACTCCATCTCAAAAAAAAAAAAAAAAAAGGATTATCTGAGATTCCTCCTATGGAACAAAGTTCCATCAAAGCCAATTTTACAGCCTATGTAAAAAATAATTATTCTTGCTGCACTATATACAAATAATTAGGCCAAGCATAATAAGCAAACCGGTTTTACCATGATTTGTTTTTAGTAAAATGGGAAACTGGAGAGAGAATAAAATTATGTTTCAAATCTATTGTACACTTGTTGTTAGATTCTAGTCTTGCCTAATGGGATTTTTTTCCCCCAATTTTTATTATTTTCTACAGTTCAGTCTCAATTCTAATTTTTCTTGGTTACAAGTCTTCAAAATAATGATTTCAATTTTTTTCCTTTTTTTTTCATTTATCCTAATTTACAGTCAGTGAAAACTAAGCTGTGTTTTCTTAAAACCCTGTGAACTGAAGAAAGACAAACTTCAGAAGAAAATAACATTAACATATTTACATACATAAGCCACTTCCATACCTGCCTACTAATATATGGACTTCAGAGTAATGTGGCTTATATTGATTTTTCTAGGATTGTTCTTTTGTTTGTTGTTGTTATTTCTCCTTTCCTCCCCGCTGTTTTCTCTTCACAGGACATGAGACTTCACAACCTGCTAAAAATGAGCTTTCGGGACCTACCCGTCTAGGAATAAACCATCCTAGCCATGAGAGACAGATGAAACCTGAGACTAGAGACTCATTTTCTTGCAAAATGCTTTCTCCAGAAGACTTCGAAAAACTAAAGGGAGGAAATGTGAAAGGAAAGTATCTTGGACTTTTTCAAGCTGGGAACCTCTCAGGGCAAATCTGCCTCACATTCTATTCAAAGTCATCTCTCTGCCCACAGAGATAGATGCATATTTTGATTGGCTCCTTGGGAAAGACTTACAGAAACTCAAAAGAATGCAACCATCTGTCTCTCACCTACCTGTGACCCGGAAACCCCCAGTGGTGGGGACTTGGTTTGAGTTGAGGCAGCCTATCTGGACAGAACTAATGTACTTCTTACATGGATTAGATTGATGTCTTATGCCTCCCCAAAATGTCTAAAACCAAACTGTACCCCAACCACCTTGGGTACATGTCATCAGGAATTCCTGAGGCTGTGTCACGGGCGGATCCTCAACTTTGGCAAAATAAACTTTGTAAATTAACTGATAGCTGTCTCAAATTTTCAGGGTTCACAATAATATAAAACAATTGAACTCATAGAAATAGAGAGTAGAATGGTAATTATAGAGGCTGGAGGGTGGGGAAAATGGTGAGATAATAATCAAAAGGTACAAAATCTGTTAGGATACATTTTTTGAGTTGTATTGGACAGTGTGGTGAATATAGTTAATAGTAGAATATTGAGGCTGGGCGCAGTGGCTCACGCCTGTAATCCCAGCACTTTGGGAGGCCAAGGCAGGTGGATCACGAGGTCAGGAGATCAAGATCATCCTGGCTAACACGGTGAAACCCCGTCTCTACTAAAAAAATGCAAAAAATTAGCCGGGCATGGTGGTGGGCGCCTGTAGTCCCAGCTACTCGGGAAGCTGAGGCAGGAGAATAACGTGAACCCAGGAGGCGGAGCTTGCAGTGAGCCGAGATCCCGCCACTGCACTCCAGCCTGGGTGACAGAGAAAGACTCCGTCTCAAAAAATAAGTAAATAAATAGATAAAAGATAATAATAATAATAGAATATTGTACATTTGAAAAATTTTTAATTTTTTAAGAGTAAATTTCAAAGGTTCTCACCAAAAAAAAAATGTGAAGTATTTGAGGTAATGAACATGTAAACTAGTTTGACTTCATTATTTCACATTATATTCATAAATCATCACATCACTTTATACTCCATACATTTATACAGATATAAATTGCCAATTTATAAGTAATAATGCTATGAATTTGTACCACTTCAAATGTGGCTTTTTTCTTGATTTGGCATTTGCTTGATTGCAGGAGACATTTCATCATTTTTCCAGAGCTACATTGAAGTTATTTTATTCAGGATCTAATTATATTTTTAATGATTCCATTGGGGTATGAGGGCCTGGAACTTCCTAGTTCACATCTTGCTGAAATCCTTCTGGGTAATTTTTAGATTGACTTTTAGCCACCATAAAGAGCTCATATTTAAAGTAAAACACACCTGAAAAATAATAATAATACCTATCTCAAAAGATGATAGCAAAAATTAAATGAGAAATGTATGAAGAGATTCTAAACCAGTGCTTGTGAGATATAGGTTTGCTTTAACTATTGATAAAAGAAAAACTTCAGCTGAATTAAATGTAAAGGAGTTTAATTTAGCAATAAATGATTCACGAATTGGGAAGCCCCCATAATCACAGCAGATTCACAGAGACTCCAGGGGAGCCTCGTGGTCAGAACAAATTTACAGAGGAAAAAGGGTAAAGTGATGTACAGGAATTGGAAGTGAGGTACAGAAACAGTGAGATTGGTTACAGCTCAGTGTTTGACTTATTAGAACACAGTTTGAATACTCAGCAGTCTGAGTGATTGAAGTATGGCTGTTGCGATTTGCCAACACTCAGCTATTGTTACACGTGCATATACTACAAAGTTAGGTTTTCAACTTTGTCTGACTATTAAGCTAGGTTACAGTTCATCCACGAGGATGCAAATAATAGAAGTAGGGAATCCTTCTCAGGACATATTTAGTTTGCTTTAACAATTCTCCCCTTTGGGTCATTTTCTCAATTTTGAGAGATTGATCAAAACTTTAGTCATTAATATTACTGTCACTGTTGTAAATGTACTTATATGGTTTTGAAACCCACAGTAGAACAGTGGGTTTTGCAAGGAGGGAATAAGGACTGAGTAGAGAGTACCTCCTCATGCTGGAACATCCTGTTTACAAGAGAAGAACAAAACCTGGTCTGTTCTAGGATCTATGTGTTTTCTTAGAGCCTTAGCTTGATTATGTTACATTTAGCACGAGTGACTCCATTTTAGTTTGGTTTGGTTTGTTGGGGCCTAGTGCATGAGCTCAGTCCAAAATAATGGCCTCCCATAATTTTGTTTAAAAGAAAATTTCCCTTTTTGGGCCAGATTCTCACTTAGGTGAGAGTGGGATAAAAACTTAGGGCCTTAGCACCACTCTCAGTTACCATCATTTTAAGTTTCCAGTCTCAGCATGTCATTCATAGGAGGTTACAGTGTCCTCATGGTCTCACATTTCTTCCAGCTTTTGTCATTCCAGTTGAAAAGATACCATTTGACATTCCAGAGATGGCTGCATGAAAACATTTAAAATCCTTGAGAGAATACAGTGCACCAGGGAGACTATTATTATAACGATTGGGAGGATAACACCAAGAGTTTGGAGTATGATCCTTACCCAGGGTCTCCATAAACCAAACCACCTAAAATTAAATTGATTAAAGAATGAGCTAGATTAAGAGTGTACTCGCTTGACTAAGTGGTCTTTCCATTAATCCCTACAATTGAATTTTTATTATCTACATTTGATGTGTTTCTCCATAGGCCACAGGCATCAGCATGAAACGTTCTTAACGCAACAAAGTAATTAAGGTTTAAATCATAACACATTCTACTTTTTATTTGAGTGAGCACTTCTAAATGACTTTTTCCTCACTAATCCACAGTATCCGAATTTAACAAATGTGTATAAAGATTGTGCTTTAGTAAAAATTAAATGAAATAAAATAAGCAAATAATTTTAACATAGCATCTAGTACAAAGTAAGAATTTAATACATGTGAACTACTCTAAGGGCTTGTGTTTCCCAAGTAAACCCACTAATTTCACACTTGGTGTATTTTAACTGTGTAAGCCTTTTTGGGGGATTGAAACCTTAATTTATTTTCTCAGAGTCTGGCACACACACATCAAAACTATGATCAGTTATCATTAAGAAAACCAATTTGTCCCTAAGACCATCACAGAAAAATCAACCTAATATACACATACTACTATTATTACTATAATTTTAACTGTATTTGTGAAACACTTGTATTTAGTCCAATATACAGGTGCCACTTTTAATGGAGGATACTAAGCAGTTTAAGATGACATAAACATCCCCATTCTGGGAAAGAAGTGTCAGAGAAATGTATAGTAATACTTGAAAGCCTTTTCTTTCCCTTTGTACCAGTCCTAAAACAATTCTGAAGCAGTTATTTTAAAATCTGAGCTTATTATTTAGTACCCTCATGACTTGCTAGCCAAGTGCTGCCACTTAGCCTTACAATCAACATTTCCTTCTGGTTTCTGACAAGCAGTTCTAGTCTTCTGTACAGACTAAGGCAGCATGTCAAGAAAGGGGATTCACGTGGGACATTTTACCATAAAAAGGGAAACACACCAAAATATACAAACAAACTTTACTGTCTTTTTCCTTCCTATTGACTTTCCTGGCTAGTTTTCTCATATGCAAATCTTTTTGTTTGATTTGAAAGTGTATAACCTAATGTCTGTTCCTATTAGATATTTGAGGATGTAGTAATCAGAATCAAGGGCTTATTTTCTCACACATTACAAATGCATGGGCGATAGATTTAATCAGAAAAAATAATATGCTTCAGAGTGCATTGAAGGGAAATATATTCTGGAAGCTATCTGCAGGCTTTCACAACTTTTGCTATCATCCAATGTTGGTAATTGAGCTGTAAAATGGCCAGAGTATGTAAGAGTAGGTTAGCTCCACCAGTAGATGTTCAAAAATCACCAGAAGCTCATGGGCATATCATTAATCTAATTATTTCCTAACTCCTAAAAGATGTCTGTCTTTCTACATATACTGTAAACTTTATTTCACTCCTTCAGAAATTCCTGTCAACCAAATGTCAGCTACATAAAAATGTCAAGAAGAGGGGAAGAGCCTAGCATTCTTTGTGCTTTTTTTCCTTTTGCTTGGGATTTCCCAGCTGTTCAGGTAATGAAATTTAACTGTATTCTTGCCCTCTTCCAGAAAAATACCTAAGCCTGGGTAATTTATAAAGAAAATAGGTTAAATTGGTTCACAGTTCTCAGGTGTTATAGGAAGCATCATGCTGGTACCTGCTTGGCTTCTAGAGATTGCCTCAGGAAGCTTACAATCATGGTGGAAGGCAAAGGGGGAGCAGGCATGTCACATGGCCAGAGTGGGATCAAGAGAGAGAGACAATGGGGGGAGAGTTGCCACACACTTTTAAATGACCAGATCTTGTGTGAACTCAGAGAGAGAATTTGCTTGTCACGAAGGGGATTGCCTAAGCCATTCATCTGAGCCCATAATACAAATTCCTCCCACCAGGCCACACCTCCAACATTAGGCATTATAATGTAACATGAGATTTGGGTGGGGACAAATATACAAACTATATCAGATGGAAAAAGAAAAGGCTGTAATCTGGGAACAAGGAGAAGCATGTGCAAAGAGCCTGAAGTGACAGCCATCATGGCTATTTCCAGGAATTATATATAGTTAAGTATATTGAAAGATATTTGATTTCAAGAATATCTAGAGCTGGAAAAGAAAACAATGTTCACTTTGTGAATGAACTTACCTATAAAATGGAGGGTGGACTTTATTCCAGATCCTGTGTAAGATCATTGAAAATTTTAAGGTAGAAGAGTGTTGTGAACAAATTTTCCTTTTAGAAAGATCACACTGGCAACTATGAGGAAATTTCATTAGTAATAGGGTGAGTGGAGGAAAGAGAGAGAAACTAGTAAACTGCTATACCATCATAGGCAAAAGATGATGTCAAAGAGGAGGCAGTGACAGTAGATTAGGAGAGAATGTTTAGAGACATACTAATAATGTAGTATCTTCGGAATTAGGATAACATGTTTATACAGAAGGCAAAGAAAGAAAAAAAACAGTCATAAAATGACTGTAAATTGTGTTTTTAAACACAAATTTACAATAATGAAGAGAAAAGCAGAAGAGTTACATTGGAAGCCAGAAGGCAAATGGATGTGTAGCAACTGCTTTAGCATCCCTTTGGAAAGCTGAATCCTGATGAGGCAATTAGAAAAACTAAGATGCAATGACATTTACATTGGAGTACACATATTTGACTTGCAGGACACCAAATTCTGCTGGCTTTTCTCTCCTCGTTGCTACTCCTTCTCAGTCCCCTCTTCTGATTTTTCTTCATTCTCTTGACCTGAAAGCAATGGTGTATCTTGGAGTTTATTCTTGGACCTCTCTCTGTTGTATTTACATTCTCTTCTTTTGTGGTGTCATCTAGCCCTATGACGTTAAATATTGCCTCATTTTCAAATGGATGGTAACAATAACTTCCTGCTATTTAGGCTAACAACTTCAATTTTGGGGGGCTTCTATCTCTTTCTCTCATTCTTCATCTGATCTGCCTGAAAATTATCTGTTACTATTTCAAAATATTTTTAGAATCCAAACACTTCATAGAACCTTTGCTACTACACTCACACATAAATCATTGTTTTACCTCTTACCTATATTAATGCAATAGCCTCTTAGCTAGTTTCCTATTGGTCAACAACTCCCCAAAAGACTACCAGAATAGTCTACTGATCAAGTAAAATAAGTTTATTAGACTTATTGCAGTAAGAGAGAACACCACATTGATAGGCTTAGTAATATGTTTCAAAAGAGGGAAGTCTCGGGTGATATTAACTTAGCTTAAAGGCCTCAGCTTGGTAATATTAGGATAGGCCATTCTAGGTGGTAAATTAGTTGATATTGGGTAAAGATTAGAACTTACAAGCTTTATGTTGGTGGGCACAGCAAGGCAGGAGTATTATAGTGAGTAATGATGATTTAGTAGTTAAGTAAGCTATAGTCTTAATTCACGGACTTATCTACAAGCAACAGATATTTTTTGGAACAAAAAACTAAGATAGTTTGACGAACCTCAATATTGTTTAACATACAGGCCAAAAGAACTTATGCTTTCTCTCAGAATTATTAAACACACGGATGAGAAACAATGTAGGTTTCAGTTCTCATCCCTTTCTTCTAACCTTGCTTCACTTAATCAGTTCTTAATAGAGCAGTGGGAGTAATTCTTTTAAAGTACTACTAAGATCAAGTCGCTACTATATTACAAACTTTAAATAGCTTCCCATCTCATCAGCAATACAAGTCAATGTTTAAAACATGGCCTACAATGGCTACAAGATCTGATCACCACCTTTTTTTTTTTTCCTATATCTCTTCACTAACTTATATTCTCCTTGTTCATTCACTCTATCCACATTGGCTTTCATATTGTGCCTCAAACACACACCAGTTATACTCTTAGCTCAGTTCTTTTTTACTAGTTCTTTTCTCTATTTTGGACACTTTCCCCAAGATAATCATATATATAATTTTCACTTAAGATACCTTTTCCAGCCGGGCCCAGTGGCTCATGCCTGTAATCCCAGCACTTTGGGAGTCCGAGGTGGGTGGATCACGAGGTCAAGAGTTAGAGACCAGCCTGGCCAACATGGTGAAATCCCGTCTCTACTAAAAATACAAAAACTACCCAGGTGTGGTGGCACGTGTCTGTAACCTCAATTACTCAGGAGGCTAAGGCAGGAGAATGGCTTGAACCTGGGAGGCGGAGGTTGCAGTGAGCGGAGATCACACCATTGCACTACAGCCTGGACAACAGAGGGAGACTCTTCTGTAAACAAACAAACAAACAAACAAACAAACTTTCCCAGGCTGGGCGCTGTGGCTCTCGCCTGTAATCCCAGCACTTTGGGAGGCCAAGGCGGGTGGATCACTTGAGGTTGGGAGTTCAAGACCAGCTTGGCCAACATGGTCAAACCCTGTCTGTACTAAAAATACAAAAATTAGCCAGGCATGGTGGTGTGTGCCTGTAACCCTAGCTACTCAGGAGGCTGATGCCGGAGAATCAGTTGAACGTGTAAGGTGGAGGTTGCAGTGAGCCGAGATGGTGCCACCGCACTCCAGCCTGAAAAAAAAAAGAAAAAAAAAAAGGTCCTTTTTCCAATGTCATCTTTCCAGTGAAGCCTTCCCTGGTTTTGCTACATAAAATGGCAATCTCCATCCCACTTCTTGCCTCCTTCTCTGCTTTATTTTTCTTCATGGCACCTACTACCATATCTGGAATTTAAAAAATGGTTTAATGTTTATATTCACCAATTAAAATGCAAGCTTTGTGCAGGTAGATATATTTGTCTGCTCTTCTCACTGCTTTGTTTCCACTGTACTCAGTAGTTTCTGGAACACAGTAAGTGCTCAATAAATATTTGTTAAATAAAATAATAAGAAGTACTTAGGAATTTGTGGTACTAGATTCCTATAAGAATGGAGGGTGCGATTATCTCTCCTAGACTTGGAAAATAATCAGTTATCCTAAGTTCATACATTGCTCATATATTTTTTGTTTTTCTTTAACTTCAGAGGAAGCCTTTACTCATACTAAGTTCATTCATGCACTCATCCATTCATTGAACAAGCACTTATGAGTGTCTTTTATGTTCTGAGAATGATGACAAGTGACGTGACATTTCATGAGATGAATGGACAATTGAGAAAGGAAAAAAGTCTAATATAATAAGCAATACTGTGTTGGATTTTTATGTCTACTATTCCATTTAATTTTTATGGCAACACAGATGGGACATAATATTATTATACAACTTCTAAAAGTGAATAAATTAAAGCCCCAAGAGGACCTAAGAATACAAAACTTGCCAGTAGAAAAACTGAGACTTGAATGCAGCATGGTTAATCTAAAAAGTCCATTATTCTTTAATGAGCAAAACATAATCCGTTTTTTCAATTGTCATGGCACAATTTTTGACCAATTTACTTTATTATAGAGCATATTTATCATTTACTAAATTCTTACCTAGCTTTTGTCTTAAAGCAAACACATCTTATATTTTAAAATGGATCAATGCCAATTGACAAATAAATTGGGATACAGTTAAGAATGAAGAAAGGAATAAACATTTAGTAGGTAATAACAGTTTCTGCTTTATTCTGCCCTTTGATGCCCAATATTTAATCTGATTGCTTGTATTACATATACATTTCTACAAATGGTAGCACACATATCTCTATTTACTCACCCACTTGCCTAACTCCAAAGTTGGAGTGGGTTATGGCATTAAGTTCAATTTTCAACATCTCTATATTATATTAAGGTCTTTAAAACAGAATCAGGTGTAGATTTTTTTTTCACATGCTGAACCATAGTTAAAAGACAAGTGATCTTCCATTAATAGCCCAGTATACACAGCTGTCAAGAACTTAGAGTACAACTACTACCAAAGTCCTCATCCTGTACAGTAGAGAAAGGAAAACATAAAGTAATCACTGATTCATGGCACATATTTTACTGAACAGGAATAATAAAGACTAACTGCCATAAGTGTGGAGTCTTTTCCTGGGTTTTCTGAAAAAATATTCTTCCATGGAAATCCATGGGCACTGGTTTTGCCCTCTTGGAGAATTTTTGTTGCCTATTTTCCTCCATGGATACATCTGAATTTAATAATGAGGAGGGTCAGTGTGAGATAAAACTACAGGGGACCACAGGAAAGAGTAAATAGGGAGGCTACATTCATTAAGAAAGTTAATTTTCAGGCTGAGGCATTTTAACCCTTGAATTTAATGTGGTTGTACAAAGTTACATAAAGTAATATCGCCCACTACTATTAGACTCTCTGGCTACTTTAAGAGTTTATTTTGCTGTATTTACTATTATATCTCTATCAAAAGAAATCAGGGCATGTATTATATGCTTTTTAAACTTATCCATCATATGTGTGTTATATAAAAATGTTCTAGTACATGCTCTCAAATTCCTAGTATCGAGAACTAAATAATCTCGAGGTATAGTTTTTCCAGCACAAAATAAAGTGCAGTGACATTTATCCCAGTCTGCATACTCTTTGATGATATACAGCTCAAGGTTGCATTTTTGTTAACTACATCACCATATTTCTACTTCTGTTGAGTATATTGTCAAATGAAATCAGAGAAACTGCCGTATGTGCTGTAATGAACAATGCATCACCAACACCCTTACTTAGATAATTAGAACCTATACAAATTATCTTATTATTATTTGATTTCATCTCATCATATTCTGCTCATATTTCATACAGCATGCAGTTATTGAGTGCTTTCTCTAAATTGTGAATATTAGGAAATGTGGGGAAAATGCCAAGTAAAAAAATTTCAAGGTTCAAGATTGTGATTTGAATACACATATTATTTTTCCTATTAGATTTAAATTATTTAAAAAAATAAAAATAAATCATAATGTAAGAGATTTGGAAAATATATAATTTTCTTATATCAATGGTCCAGTAATGTAAAGGGACTGCTGTACAATATAAAAACTTCTAATTATTAATTACTTGAAACCCAAGTGACCTTCTCTCACATTTTCATCTCATATAATGCTAAAATGAGGCAGCCAATTATATTGTACATGAAATGGATTGTATTTGAATTAGTTGAGAACATTTACTCTGAGACTTTCTAAAAGAAAATAAAAATTCCAATATAATATAGGGTATTACATTTAAGGTCAGAAAGAAATTTCATATGTACAGTAAAAAAATGAGAGCTTGTATAATGTTAGTATTTGTGTTATACTATATAAAGCTTAGCCATACAAAATGTAAATGGCCATTCTGCGTTTTTAGCCAAGTGTAAAATTAACACCAGATATTCATAACCAGGTAGTATCGTAATTATGTTAAGCAAGATTATAATTATTATAAGGTAGTTTTGGCACAATTATAAATAAGAACCCATGAAATTCAGTTTAAGATAAATTACATTATACAAATCCCACTATTTACTGAAGAATAGCATAAAATGAAAATAGTGTTGAAATGACTGTATCTCAAATACATATTCTTCTCTTTTTGAGTTATCTCAAATTATTGATGAGGGTCTAGTAACACATCCTGTTCTTTTCCTTACCTTAATCTTGTATGCCATTTTATATTGTTGATATTCCTCATTTAAATTATTTTTTCCCTTGGTTTCATGGGCATTATTACTTCCTTATTCTGCTAACATCTGTGAACATTCTATATTTTTCTTCTCCATAGTCTGCTCTTTCTTTACCTTCACTTGAAATATTGGTGTCCTTTAAGGTCTATTATGATATGCAGTGTGTTCTTACTCTATACACATTCTGTGCTTGGTGCCGTGGGCCCCCATAGTTTCAAATGCCACCTAATATGCTGGTACCTCTCAGAACTGCCTCTCCAGCTGTCACGTCTTCCCTAATAAATATATCTGCCTGCTTATTGATAGCTCTATTTGAATACTTCATATTTTAGATTTAACAAATACTATCTTGAATTAGTGATCTCTAAATCAGACTTGTTGCTCCTTTTATATTTTGTATATTGATAAATGTTATAATTATCCATCTAGTCACTCAAGTCAGAAATTGGCCTTCTCCATTTTCCTTATTGTCAATATGTAACTAGGCATCAGACTCTCTGTAGTTTAGTTCCTTAGAATTTCCTAAATGATTCGTTACTTTCTTCTTTCCTTAACCATGGTCTGTCATTACCTCATGCCTAAGGCATTACAAAGTTTTTCAAATTGATGTCCAGGACTCCAGTTTTGCTCTCCTTTAATCTATTCTCCACACTGATATTTGAGTAATATTTTCTAAACTTGAATTATGATTATTTTATTTTCTTATGTAAAGCAAAATTAATTGTTATTGCTCACATCCAATGGTCTCAAATTTACTGTACGTATGAATTCCTTGGAATTATATTCCAATTTATGTATATACCATATTTTCTTTATCCATTCATCTCTCCATGAATATTTGTGTTGCTTCCACATTTTGTCTATTGTGAATAAATATGCTATGAACACTGGACACTTTTTTAAAATGCAGGTTGTTCAGTTCCCAGTACCAAAGACTGAATTATTAAAAGCGCAGTGGGGCCCAGGGACCTGTGTGCCAAACAAGCCCCCCTCTTGACAATTTCTACGTAAATGGAATTTATGTAGAATAAATTCCAATAAAGCTCAAATATTGAGAAAAATTAAAATAAAGATTAAAAGCCAAATATCTTGAGATGACATAAAATAAGGTATCTCCTGATTGTTGATGTTCATGTAATACCATTACTTGAATCATAAGGTTTCTTTTTTTAATTATTTTTTATTATGGTAAAAGACACCTCATATGAAATCTACCCTTTTAGCAAATTTTTAAGCATACAGTACAATATCATTAACTATATGCACTTTTTTTACAACCGATGTCAAGAATATTTTCATTTTGGAGGACTGAGACTCTACTCACTACACAGAAAATGCCTATTTCCCACTTCCCTCAGCCCCTGACAACCATCATTCTACTTTCTGCTTCTATGAGTTTGAATATTTAAGATCCCTCAAACAAGTAGAATCATATAATATTTGTCTGTGACTAGCTTATTTCACCTAGGATAATGTCCCTCCAGGTTCATCCATATTATAGCATATGACAATTTTTCCTTTTATATGGTTCAATAATATCCCATTGTGTGTGTGGGTGTATACATATATTCCTTATACATTTATCTGTGTATAAAAATTAAGGTTCTTTCCACCTCTTGGCTATTTTGATTAAGGCTATAATGAACATAAAGTGTAAATACCACTGGGATCCAGCTTTGAATTATTTTAGATAAATATCCAGTATTAGGATTACTGGATTATATGGTAGTGCTATTTCTAATTTTTTGAGGAAACTACATAGTATTTCCCATACTGAATATTCCACTTTACGTTTTCATCAGCAGTGCACAAGGGTCCAAATTCCCTACATCCTCATCAACACTTGTAATTTTCTGTTTTTGTGAAAATGGCCATCCTAACAGGTTTAAGGTGATATATTTCATTGCAACTTTGGAGGATTTTGTTTATACTTTTATACTGGTGAATATATGTGAGTTTTACCGTTTTAACCATTTTTAATTGTTCGATTCAGTAGAATCAAATACATTTATAATATTCTGCAACCATCACCACCATCCATGTCCAGAACTTTTTTCATCTTCACAAACCAAATCTTAATTCCCATAAACATTGCCCATTCTCCCTTTACCCTTGTTCTTACAACAACCGTTCTACTTTCTGTCATCACAAATTAGGCTATACCAGGAACCGAATCTAAGTAAAATTATAGAGTATTTGTCTTTTTCTGACTGGCTTATTTAAGTTACCGCAACACCATTAGTGTTACCCCATGTTGTAACATGTGTCATAATTGTCTTCATTTTTTTAAGGCTGAATAATACTCCATTGAATTTATATACCACATTTTCTTCATCAATTCATCTCTCCATGGATATTTGCAATGCTTCCACACTTTGGTATTGTGAATGTAGCTGCTCTGAACATGGGAGAAAAAATACTATCTTTTTGAGTCTCTGCTTTCTTTTTGGCATATACACAAAAGTAAAATCTGGACAAAATTACAGTTGAATAGATGGAATATATTGTATGTATGCTTATGGTAATTCTGTGTTTAATAGAATTAAACATGGTAATTTCATATTTAATATAATTAAAAGTATGGTAATTCTATGTTTTAAGTTGTAGAGGAGCTGTCATAATTACAGTTGAATAGATGGAATATATTGTATGTAAGCTTATGGTAATTCTATGTTTAATAGAATTAAACATATGGCAATTTAACATAATTGAAATATGGTAATTTTATGTTTAAGTTGTTGAGGAGCTGTCATATGTTTTCCATAAAGATTGTACCATTGGCGTGCACCTGTAGTCCCAGCTACTTGGGAGGCTGAGGCAGGAGAATCACTTGAACCCGGGATGTGGAGGTTGCAGTGAACTGAGATCGCACCACTGCACTCCAGCCTGCGTGACAGAGCAAGGCTCGGTCTCAAAAAAAAAAAAAAAAAAAAAGAAAGATTTTGCCATTGTACATTCCCACCAGCAATGCACAAGTGTTTCAATTTTTCCACTACCCTGCCAACACGTTATTTTCTATGTTTTCTGAAAGAGTATTTTAATTGACAATTTTTGTACATATTTGTGGAATGCAGTGTAATATTTTGTTACATGTATACAATATGTAGTGATCAAATCAGTGATTAGCATATCAATAATCTCAAACATCATTTCTTCATGGTAGGATCATTCAAAATCCTATTTTCTAGCTATTGCAAAATATACAATAAATTAATGTTAACTATAGTGACTCTGTAGTGGTATAGAGCCCTAAAACTTACTCCTTCTTCTTCTTCTTTTTTTTTTTTTTTTGGCTATTTTACCAGTTTTTACAATTCACATGTCATATAACCCAACAATTTAAAATTTACAATTCAGCCAGGTGCGGTGGCTCACCCCTGTGATCCCAGCACTTTGGGAGGCCGAGGCAGGTGGAGCACCTGAGGTCAGGAGTTCGAGATCAGCCTGGCCAACATGGCAAAATCCCGTCTCTGCTAAAAAATACAAAAATTATCCAGGCATGATGGTGCATGCCTGTAATCCCAGGTACTCGGGAGGCTGAGGCACGAGAATCACTTTAACCCGGGAGGCAGAGGGAGGCAGAGGTTGTGGTGAGCTGAGATCATGCCACTGCACTCCAGCTTGGGTGACAGAATGAGACTCTCTCTCTCAAAAATAAATAAATAAATAAATAAATAACAATACAGTAAAATAAAATGTAGAATTCAAACATTGTTTAAGATATTCACAAAGTTGCACAGCAATTACCAATATCTAATTCCAGAACATTTTCACCACCTCCTAAACAAACCAAAAACCCATTGGAAGTCCCTCCTCATCTTCTTCCAACCCTCCTAGCCCTAGGTAACCACTAATCTGCTTTCTGTCTCTACATAACTTGTCTGTTTTGAACACTGCATGCATACGGAATCATACAACACGAAGCCTTTTGTTACTGTTTTCTTTCACATGTTTACAAGGTTTATTGCCATTGCAGCATTTATTAGAATTTCATTCCTTTTTATTGCTAAATAGTATCCCTCTGTGAGGATATACCACCTTTTATTTATCCAAATACTTACAGCCAACTGATCTTCAACAAAGCAAACAAAAACAAAGTGGAGAAAGTCCACCCTATTTGACATATGGTGCTTGGTTTATTGGCAAGCCACACGCAGAAAAATGAAACTGGATCGTCATCTCTCACTTTATAGAAAATGAACTCAAAATGGATCAAAGACTTAAATCTAAGACCTGAAACCATAAAAATTCTAGAAGATAACCTTGGAAAAACTCTTCTAGATGTTGGCTAAGGCAAAGAGTTCATGACCAAGAACCTAAAAACAAATGCAGCAAAAACAAAGATAAACAGAGGGGACTTAATTTAACTGAAAAGCTTCTGCACAGAAAAAGATATAATCAGCAGAGGAAAGACAACCCACAGATTGGGAGAAAATACTCACAATCTATGCATCCAATAAAGGACTAATATTCAGAATCTACAAACAGGAAAAATTTGACTCCCTGTTATTCCAATTTGGATGCTCTATATTCTGTGTTTTTCTCTTGCCTGATTGCATTGGCTAAGACCTCTAGTACTATGTTGAATAAGAGTGGTGAAAGTGGTATTCTTGTTTGTTTCAGTTCTTTTTTTTTTTTTTTTTTTTTGAGACAGACACTCGCTCTGTTGCCCAGGCTGGAGTGCAGTGGCATGATCTTGGCTCACTGCAACCTCCGCCTCCCGGGTTCTAGCAATTCTCCTGCCTCAGTCTCCTGAGTAGCTGGGACTACAGGTGTGCACCACCATGCCCGGCTAATTTTTGTATTTTTAGTAGAGACGGGGTTTCACCATGCTTGCCAGGCTGGCCTTGAACTCCTGACCTCGTGATCTGCCCACCTCGGCCTCCCAAAGTGCTAGGATTACAGGCAAGAGCCACTGCACCTGGCCATTTGTTTCAGTTCTTATAGAAGGGGCTTTCAACTTTTTCCTATTCATTATAAAACTAGTTGTGGATTTCTCATATGTGGTCTTAATTGAATTGAGGAATATTCCTTGCATATCTAATTGGTTGAATTTTTTATCATGGAAAAATGTTGACATTTATTAATTGCTTATTCTGTGTCTATTGAGACAATCTTATTTTTTTCCCTTCATTCTGTTGATGTGATATATTATGTTTATCGATTTGCGTATGTTAAACCATCTTTGCAAGCTTGAGGTAAATCTCACTTGATCGTAGTGTATCATCTTTTTAGTGTGCTGCTGGATTTGTTTTGATAGTGTTTTGTTGAGGATTTTTGCATCTATTTTTATCAAAGTTATTGGCCTGTAGTTATGTTGTTGTTGTTGTTGTTGTTGTGTCCTTATCTGGTTTGGGTATCAGGTTCAGGCTGGCCTCATAGAATGAGTTTGAAAGAATTTTCTCCTCATTTTTTTTTGGAATAATTTAAGAATAATTGGTGTTAGTTTTTCTTTAAATATGTGGTAGAATTGAGCTGCAAAGCCATCAGTCCTGGGCTTTTCTTTGTTAGTAGAAATTTTATTACTCATTCTACTTCATTACTTGTTTTGGTTTGTTCAGTCTTTTAATTTCCTTATGGTTCAATGTAGGTATCTTGTATTTGTACAGAAATTTAGATTTTCCAATTTGTTGATGTATAGTTGTTAATAATAATCCTTCCTTATTCTTTGCATTTATATGCAAAGGTATTAGAAATAATATCTCCTTTTTGTTCCTGATTTTATTTGGGTTAATTTTTTTCCTATTCAGAACTTTTTTTTTTTTTTTTTAATTTTACTTTACGTTCTGGGATACACGTGCAGAGCGTGCAGGTTTCTTACATAGGTAGACATGTTCCATGGTGGTTTGCTGCACCTATCAACCCATCATCTAGGTTTTAAGCCCTGCATGAATTAAGTATTTGTCCTAATGCTCTCTCTCCCCTTGCCCCAAACTCCCCCACGATGGGCCCCCATGTGTGATGTTCCCTCCCTGTGTCCATGTGTTCTCATTGTTCAACTCCCACTTATGAGTGACGACATGCAGTGTTTGGTTTTCTGTTCCTGTGTTAGTTTGCCGAGAATGATGGCTTCCAGCTTCATCCACGTCCCTGCAAAGGACATGAACTCATTCTTTTTTATGGTTTCATAGTATTCCATGGTATGTATTTGCCATATTTTCTTTATCCAGTCTATCATTGATGGGCATTTAGGTTGGTTCCAAGTCTTTGCTATTGTAAATAGTGCTGCAGTAAACATATGTGTGCATGTGTCTTTATAGTAGAAGGATTTATAATCCTCTGGGTATATACCCAGTAATGGGATTGCTGTGTCAAATGGTATTTCTGGTTCTAGATCCTTGAGGAATTGCCACACTGTCTTCCACAATGGTTGAACTAATTTACACTCCCACCAAGAGTGTAAAAGCTTTTCTATTTCTCCACAGCCTCACTAGAATCTGTTGTTTCCTGACCTTTTAATAATCACCATTCTAACTGGTGCGAAATGGTATTTCATTGTAATTTTGATTTGCATTTCTCTAATGACCAGTGAGGATGAGCTTTTTTTATGTTTGTTGACTGCATAAATGTCTTCTTTTGAGAAGTGTCTGTTCATATCCTTTGCACACTTTTCAATGTTTTTTTTTCTTATATATTTGTTTAAATTCTTTCTAGATTCTGGATGTTAGACCTTTGTAAGATGGATAGATTGCAAAAATTTGCTTGCATTCTGTAGATGGCCTCTTCACTCTGATGATAGTTTCATTCGCTGTGCGGAAGCTCTTTAGTTTAATTAGATCACATTTGTCAATTTTGGCTTTTATTGCAATTGCTTTTGGTGTTTTAGTCCTGAAGTCTTTGCCTGTGCCTATGTCATGAATAGTATTGCCTAGGATTTCTTCTAGGGTTTTTATGGTTTTGGGTTTTATATTTAAATCTTTAATCCATCTTGAGTTAGTTTTTGTATAAAGTATAAGGAAGGGTCCAGTTTCTGTTTTCTGCATATGGCTAGTCAGTTTTCCCAGCACCATCTATTAAATAGGGAATCTTTTCCCCATTGCTTGTCTTTGTCAGGTTTGTCAAAGATCAGATGGTTGTAGATGTGTGGTGTTATTTCTGAGGTCTCTGTTCTTTCCCGTTGGTCTATATGTCTGTTTTGGTACCAGTACCATGCTGTTTTGGTTACTGTAGCTTTGTAGTATAGTTTGAAGTCAGGTAGCATGATGCTTCCAGCTTTTTTCTTTTTGCTTAGGATTGTCTTGGCTATATGGGCTCTTTTTTGGTTCCATATAAAATTTAAAGTAGTTTTTACTAATTCTGTGAATAAAGTCAATGGCAGCTTGATGTGAATAGCATTAAATTTATAAATTACTTTGGATACTATGGCCAATTTTATGATATTGACTCTTCCTATCCATGAGCCTGGAATGTTTTTCTATTTGTTTATACTTCTTGTTGAAGACGTCCTTCATGTCCCTTGTAAGTTGTATTCCTAAGTATTTTATTGTCTTTTTTTTTTTTTTTGAGACGGAGTCTCGCTCTGTCGCCCAGGCCGGACTGCGGACTGCAGTGGCGCAATCTCGGCTCACTGCAAGCTCCGCTTCCCGGGTTCACGCCATTCTCCTGCCTCAGCCTCCCGAGTAGCTGGGACTACAGGCGCCCGCCACCGCGCCCGGCTAATTTTTTGTATTTTTAGTAGAGATGGGGTTTCACCTTGTTAGCCAGGATGGTCTCGATCTCCTGACCTCATGATCCACCCGCCTCGGCCTCCCAAAGTGCTGGGATTACAGGCGTATTTTATTGTCTTTGTAGCAATTGTGAATGGGAGTTCACCCATGATTTGGCTCTCTGCTTGTCTATTATTGGTGTATAGGAACGTTTGTGATTTTTGCACATTGATTTTGTACCCTGAGACTTTCATGAAGTTGCTTATCAGCTTAAGTATTTTGGGGGCTGAAACAATGGGGTTTTCTAAATATAAGATCAAGTCATTTGCAAACAGAGACAATTTGACTTCCTCTATTCCTAATACCCTTTATTTCCTTCTCTTGCCTGATTGCCCTGCCCAGAACTTCCAATACTATGTTGAATAGGAGTGGTGAGAGAGGGCATCCTTGTCTGGTGCTGGTTTTCAAAGGGAATGCTTCCAGCTTTTGCCATTCAGTATGATAATGGCTATGGGTTTGTCATAAATAGCTCTTATTATTTTGAGATATGTTCTATCAACACTGTGTTTATTGAGAGTTTTTAGCAAGAAGGGATGTTTAATTTTATCAAAGACCTTTTCTGCATCTATTGAGATAATCATATAGTTTTTGTCATTGATTCTGTGTATGTGATGGATTATGTTTATTGATTTGCATATGTTTAACCAGCTTTGCATTCCAGGGATGAAGCCAACTTGATTGTGGTGGATAAGTTTTTGATGTGCTGCTGGATTCGGTTTGCCAGTATTTTATTGAGGATTTTCATATCAATGTTCATCAGGGATATTTGCCTGAAATTTTCTTTTTTTGTTGTGTCTCTGCCAGGTTTTGGTATCCAGATGATGCTGGCTTCATAAAACGAGTTAGGGAGGAGTCTCTCTTTTTCTGTTGTTTGGGATAGTTTCAGAAGGAATGGTACCAGCTCCTCTTTGTATTTCTGGTAGAATTTGGCTGTGAATCCATCTGGTCCTGGGCTTTTTTTGGTTTGCAGGTTATAAATTACTGCCTCAATTTCAGAATTTATTATTGGTCTATTCGAGGACTTCTTCCTGGTTTATTCTTTGGATGATGTATGTATCCAGGAATTTATCCATTTCTTCTCCATTTTCTAGTTTATTTATGTAGAGTGTTTATAGTATTCTCTGATGGTAGTTTGTATTACTATGGGATCAGTGGTGATATCCATTTTATCATTTTTTATTGTGTCTATTTGATTCTTCTCTCTTTTCTTATTAGTCTAGCTAGTGGTCTATTTTGTTAATCTCTTCAAAAAACAACCTCCTGGATTCATTGATTTTTTTAAATGTTTTTTGTGTCTCTATTTTCTTCAGTTCTGCTCTGATCTTAGTTCTTTCTTGTCTTCTGCTAGCTTTTGAATTTGTTTGCTCTTGCTTCTCTAGTTCTTTTAATTGTGATGTTAGGGTGTTGATTTCAGATCTTTCCTGCTTTCTGATATCGGCATTTAGTGCTATAAGTTCCCCTCTTAACACTGCTTTAGCTGCGTCCCAGAGATTCTGGTACATTGTGTCTTTGTTCTCATTGGTTTCAAAGAAGTTTATTTCTGCCTTTATTTCATTATTTACTCAGTATTCATTCAGGAGGAGGTTGTTCAGTTTCCATGTTGTGCAGTTCTGAGTGAGTTTCTTAATCCTGAATTCTAATTTGATTGTGCTGTGGTCTGAGAGACTGTTTGTTATGATATCCACTCTTTTGCATTTGCTGAAAAGTGTTTTACTTCCAATTATGTGGTCAATTTTAGAATAAGTGCTATGCAGTGCTGAGAAGAATGTATATTTTCTTGATTAGGGGTGGAGAGTTCTGTAGATGTCTATCAGGTCCACTTGGTCCAGATTATTTGGGTTTTCTATCTTTTTTCTCACTTAGTTTAGCAAATGGTTTGTTAAATTTACCATTTAAAAACTGTTTTATTTATATTTTGTATTTATTTTTCAAATTTATATTTCATTTATTTCTACTCTCTTATTCAATATTTCTTTCCTTTTACTAGTTTTGGGTTTGGACTGTTCTTGCATTTGTATTTCCTTGAGTGTCATGGTTAGGTTTGTCTGCTTAATATTGTCCCATGAGTCTTACAGGCTTTCTTCATTCTTTTTACTTTATTTTTCATCTGACTGGGATATTTCAAAAGACATAGTTTCAAATTCAGACATTATTTTTTTCTGCTTTATCTAGTCTATTCATGCTTTTTATTGTATTTTTTATCTATTGAATTATTTAGCTTTAAGATTTCTGTTGGGTCTTTCTTATGATTTATATCTCTTTGCATAAATTCTCATTCATGTCATGAATTATTTACCTGGTTTCAATGAATTGTTTATTTGTATTCTCTTGTATCTCACAGAGTTGCCTTAAGATCATTATTTTGCACTGCCTTTCAAGTATTTTATAGGTACCTTGTTTTGAAGTGTCTGTTACTGGAAAGTGGTTATATTTCTTTAGAGATATTATGTTTTCTTACTTTTTTATATTTCTTTTGTAACTATGTTGGTGTCTGCACACTTGATGAAGCATTTGCCTCTTTCAATTTTATGGAGTAACTTTCACAGGAAAAGACATTTTCCTGTAAATTTGTTCTATAGTGTCAGTTGGGTAGGGTGCTTTGGCTTTAATTCTGGGTATGCACAGTAGTGTAGTCTCTGTGTAAATTCTTTGTCTTTAACCAGTGTCAGCAGTGTCTACAGGTGTCTCAATTGCTTAGACTGTGGGTATTTGTGGAGGCACTGGTGTGGCTTTGCTGAGGGTGGGGGGCTCCAGGAAGGCCAGATATTAGGTCTTGGCAGGTAGGCATTCACCAAGTGTGTGCATTTGGTGGCTCTACCAGTTATTACAATTTTGATTTGCATTTCCCTGGTGATTAGGGTCACAGTCCATTTGGACTGGTATACAAAATATCACAAACTGGATAGCTTATAAACATTATCAATTAATTCTTCATTGTTCTAGAGACTGTAGTTTGAGATCCAAGTGCCAGCATGGTCAGGTCCTGGTCATGGCTTTCTTTTGGGTTATAGACTACTGACTTCTCTCTGTCTTTACAAGGAAGAAGGGGTGAGTGGTTTCTCTCAGGACTCTTTTTATAAGGGCACTAATCTCATTCATGAGGGTTTCACCCCCCGTGACTGAATCACCTCCTAAACTTCCCACTTCCTAATACCATCAATTTGGGTGGGAGAATTTTAACATATGAACTTTAGGGAGACATAAATATTCAGACCCTAGGAATTAGTAATGTTTAGCATCTTTTTATAAACTTGGTCATTTACATGTTCTTTTTGAAGAAATAGCTATCCAAGTACTTTGCTCATTTTAAATGGGATTATTTGGATTTTGCTATTGATTTTTAGGAGCTTTTATACTTTGCATATTAATCTTTTATCAAATACATCATATGCAAATATTATCTCCCATTCTGTCCATTGCCTTTTCACTCTGCTGCTTATTTTTTATGCTATATGGAGCTTTGTGGTTTGATATAGTCCCACTTTTTAAAAAATTTTTCTGCCTGTACTTTTTGTGTTAGATCCAAGAAATTCATTGTCAAGGCCAGTATTATAAAGATTTTTATCTATGCTTTTATTTCAGAGATTATAATAATGGTCCAACTTTTTTTTTTTTTTCTTTTTTGAGACGGAGTTTTGCTCTTGTTGCCCAGGCTGGAGTGCAATGGCATGATCTCGGCTCACCGCAACCTCCGCCTCCCGGGTTCAAGCGATTCTCCTGCCTCAGCCTCCCGAGTAGCCGGGATTACAGGCATGCACCACCACGCCCGGCTAATTTTGTATTTTTAGTAGAGACGGGGTTTCTCCATGTTGAGGCTCGTCTCGAACTCCTGACCTCAGGTGATCCGCCCGCCTCAGCCTCCCAAAGTGCTGGGATTACAGGCGTGAGCCACCGTGCCCGGCTGGTCCAACTTTTTTTTAAGTGGCTATCTGGTATCCCAGCACCATTGGTTTAAGAGATATCATTTCACCATCGTGTAGTTTTGGCACCCTTGTTAAAGATCGTTTTACAGTATATCCATGGATTTAGTTTGGAGCTCTTTGTTTTACTTCAATTATCAAGTGTCTGTCTTTATGCCAACATCATACGGGCTTGATTCCTACTGATTTGTAATATATCTTTTAATCAGAAAGTTGGAAACCCTCATCTATGGTCTTCTTTCTCAAAACTGTTTTGGTTATTTAGCATCCCTTGTGGTTCCACATGAATTATTATTTTTTTGTATTTTTGTGAAAAACAAATGAGTCCTATTGAAAAACATTAGGTTTTTTATAGAATTTGCATTGAATCTGTAAATTGCTTTTGGTAGTATAAGGCATTTTAACAATATTAATTCTTCTAACCCATGAACATAGGATGTCTTTTCATCCATTTGTGTCTTTTTTAGTTTTCTTCAGCAATATTTCATAGTTTTTACTGTACAAATCTTTTACCTCCTTGGTTAAATTTATTTCTAGGTTTTTATTCTTGTTGGTGTTGGTGTAAATTGCATTGTTTTCTTAATTTTATTTACCTATTTTTGTTGCTAGTATACATAAATGTAACTACTTTTTGTAGGTTGATTTTATATTCTGCACAGTTTCTGAATTTATTAGTTTTTACAAGTTTTATGTGGAATTTTAGAATTTTATATATATAAGATCATGTCATCTTTGAACAGAGATAATTTTACTTTTTTCATTTCGATGTAAATGCCTTTATTTATTTTTCTTGCCAATTGCTCTAGCTAGACTTCATATTATTCTGCTTAATTGAAGTGACAAATATGGACATCCTTTGGTTGCTATTCCTTTGTTCCTGATCATAAGGAAAAACTTTCAGTCCTTCACCAGTAAGTATAATATTAGTTGTGGATTTTTTATAAATAGCCTTTACTGTGTTGAGAAAATTTCTTTTTTCTCCATATTGTTAGCATTTAACTTAAATGGCTTTTGTGTTTTATCAAATGCTTTTTCTGTATCTATTAAAATGATCATGTGATCTTCATCCTTCTTTCTTCTAATGTGTTGTATTACATTGTTTGATTTTCATATGCTGAAACATTTTTATATCCCAGTGATACATTTAGCTTGATCATGGTGTAGAATCCTTTTAACATGCTGTGGAATTTGGTTTTCTAGAATTTTTATATCCATGTTCATTAGGGATATTTGCTTGTAGTTCCTCTTTCTTATAGTGTCTTTGTCTTTGGCATGAGGGTAATACTGACTTTAACAATTGAGTTTAGAAGATTTCCATCTTTTTCAAATTTGTGGAAGAATCGTAAACTAGAGAATTGTTGTTAATTCTTTAAATATTAGGTTGAATTCACCAGTGAAGCCATATTGTCCTCGGCTCTTGTTGGTAGTGTTCTGATGAATGATTCAATCTTCTTCTAGTTCAGACTGTTTTCATGGTTTAGTCATTGTGGTTTGTATATTTCTAGAGATACATGTATTTCTTCTAGGCTGTCAAATTTGTTGTTGTATAATGCTTTGCAGTAGTTTCTTAGGATCATTTTTTTCCTTGTGGGATTGGTTGTCTCCTATTTCATTTCTGATTTTTTTTACGAGTCTTCGCCCTCATTTTTTTTTATTCTAGCTAAAAGTGTATCTATTTTCTCTGATATTTTCAAAACACAACACTTAGATTTAATTTTTTTCTAGTGTTTTCTATTTATTTATTTAATTCTACTCTAATCTTTATTATTGCCTTTCTTCTGTTATTGTTTATCTTTCTTTTTCTTTTACTAGTTCCTTGAGGTGCAAAGTTAGGTTGTTTATTTGAGATAGTTCTTCGTTTTAAAGAAGTAAGCATTTAACACTATGAACTTCCCTTTTAATACTGATTTTGCTGCATTCTATATATTTTGGCAAGTTTTTTTTTTCATTTGCTTCAAAATGTTTTCTAATTTCACTTTTGATTCCTTCTTTGAATCACTCCTCGTTCAATAATGTTTAATTACCAAATATTTGTGAAGCTTCCAATTTTTCTTCCGCTATTTACTTCTAGTTTCATTCTATTATGGTTAGAAAAGTACGTGGTATAATTTAAATCTCCTGAATCTTTTAAGACTTGTTTTGTAACCTCAAATGTGCTCTATCTTGAAAAATGTTTCATGTGTACTTGAGAAGAATGTGTATTCTATTGCTGTTGGGTGAAATGTTCTGTATATGTCTGTTAGGTCCATTTGATCTATATATTGTTCATGTTCTCCGTTTATTTATAGTCTATACAAATGTTCCATCCATTATTGAAAATGGAGCATTAAAGTCTCCTATTATTATTTTATCACTGTCTATTTTTCCCTTCATTTATGTCAATGTTTTTTCCATATATTTGGGTGCTCTCTTATAGGGTACACAGACACACACACACACACACACACACACACATATATATATACATATATATATAATTTATCTTCCTGGTGAATAAACCTTTTATATATATGTATATGTGTATGTGTGTGTATGTATATATATGTATATATGTATATATATACACACATATATGTAAATATATATACATAAATGTCTTCTTTATTTCTTGTGAGAGTTTTTGACTTAAAGTTTATAGTCCATTTAGTCTGGTATAAGTATGGCCACCCCTGCTCCCTTTTGGCTACCATTTGCATACTGTACCTTTCTTCTACGCTTTCACTTTCAGTCTATGTGTGTTCTTATTTTTTTTACATTCTACATACAAATGTTCTCAATACATGTGTCTTTAAAGTAAATCTCTTGTAAGCAATGTATCGTTGGATTTTAAAAATTCATTGCGTTCCTCTTTTCATTGGGTGGTTCTATCCATCTACACTTAAAGCAATTGCTGACAGGGAGGGACTTACTATAGCCATTTTGTTGTTTTCTGTCTGTCTTGTAGCTTTTTTGTTTTTTTCCTCTTTTTGTCTTTTGTGTTTCCTTTTTTTTTTTTTTAGTGACATGCTTTGATTCCTTTATCATTTTCTTTTATGCATCTTCTATCAGTATTTTCTTTGATGTTACTGTCTTACCTGTTATAGTAAACTATCATAGACTGGGAAGCTTAAGCAACAAATATTTATTTATCTCCATTCTAGGGCTAAAAATCTGAGATCGGGTGTCACCATGGCTGGGTTCTTGCTGAGGGCCCTCATTCTGATTTATAGTCAGTTGCCTTCCTGATATATCCTCATGAGACAAAGTAAAATCGTCTCTCTTATTTGTCTCTCATCTCTCTCATAAGAACACTAATCCTATTCACAAAGGCTACATATTCTTGATCTCATTACCTCCCCAAAGCGCCACTTCCAAATACCATGATATTGGGTCTTCAGCATGAATTTGGGGGGAGGCACAAACATTAATTTTTATAACAGTTACCATTTGGCTTACATAAAACATCTAACATATATATATATATTTTTAAAGCTGATAACAACTTAACTTGAATTGTACACAAAAACCCTACTCTTTTATTTTGCCCCCAAATTATGTTATGGACATCACAAATTACATCTTCTATTGTGTATCCATTAACCTATGCCTAAGTTATAGTTATTTTTATACTTTTCTCATCTTCTGTATTAGAATAAAATTGACTTGTGCAGTGCTGTTATAGCAATATTCTGCATTTGTGTATATGTTTGTTATTACCAATAAACTTTCACTTTCTTATGCTTTTATGATGTTCTTTAGTGTTCTTTCATCTTGACGAACTCTCTTCAGCATTTCTTGTAATGCAAATCTGGTGGTAATGTACTTTCTCAGCATTTGTAAACACTTCTGGGGTATTCTTTATTTCTCCTTCATTTTTGAAGCACAGTGTTGTCAGATAAAGTAGTCTTGGTTGTATATGAGCCTTAATTCTACTTTCTACAAGCCTGTGGAAAATATTTTTGTTAGTTGGGCTTACGATATTATTAACTATAATCTTCTTGCAATACTTGCATGTTCCTATGTTTATCTTTACTTTTCCAAAGGTAAAATAATTTTCTGCTGCTTCCCAAATTACTTTAACTGTCAACATTATAAAACCTTGAGATGAAAAATCTAAACCTTCAAAAACTTAACTAAATTTCCTTACTCAAGCTTTCTAATTTCTGATTATGAAATATCATTTGCACCAATTAACAAAAACAAGGTACTCTTTATAACCCATTTCTAGTTCCTAACCTAATTATTCTTCTTAAATGCTTGAATATAAATGTGAAATTGAACAAATTTGAGGTTCTTGCATCACTCCTATATCTAAAGTATCTGTTTCACTAGTGTATGTTAATAAGAGTGTGGGAAAATGGTGCTTTAATAATCGTGAGGTTAGATGCTCATCTGATGTTCGCAGCTATGTTATATTACCAACCATTTTCTCTTTTGTGATTGACCAATGCCCACACATTGATGATTTTTAAATATTTAAATATCATTATGCTTCTTTGGTTTTTCAATAATTTTAGGAAATGATTAGCTAAATCTCCATACTTCTTACGAATTTTATGAAATATAAGTTAAAAGAGTAAAGCCGGTACTCAAAACTTAGCATGTTTGCATTAACTGTCATTTATCTATATTTATACCTCTGTATATAAATACAGAAATAATTACAAAAATGTAAATGTAAAAATATAAACATCTGTATTTATATATCTGCGTCTCTATATATCGGCAGAGGAGAGAGAAATACAAAGACAGAGAGAGAGAGAAAGCTATTTGGATACATTTTAATTTCTGATAATAAAGTTATATGTTTAGGGATTTACAATAACCTTACTTATTAGGAATAAGCAGTGGCATCAATAATAAAAGAACTTTGCATGTCTTCAGCTTCTACATTTGGATCAAAATTTTCTTGACATAATCTATATCTATTTTTTAAGGTGAGAACTGGTGACTCACTTTAGTTTCTTTTTTCCCCAAAAATTGGATATTTAAATTGACAACCTCAATCTCTTCCAGCTTTATGGAAATACACAATCTGTATATACTCATTCATATGCATAGTGATATTTGTTGATTAACTCACTAGTCCTCAATTATAGCCATTAATTTCCTTGTGTTGATAATAATTCTTTCTTGATATAGCACCATGCTTACTGAGATTTTTCTGTAAAATATTTCATAAAGCATTATACTTCGATACTTACTTTTGGAATATTAGATTTGATAGTTACAAAAATAAAGATGAATAACATAACATAATAATTATTAATTATAATAATTATTCTCAAAATCGTTTGTTGTAAAGGGCATATTGTTAAAAATATCTTCACTCCCCTTTCTTCCCTTTTACTGTGGGATGAATATATTTTCATGCCCTATTAATGTTAGGCTTAGGTATGTGACTTGTTTGTGCAATGGCATATGAACAAATGTGATATACAAATGTCCAATAAATGCTAATTATTGGCACTTCTCATGAGGTTCTGATAGATACCTGCAGAATAAAATGTTTTATATAACAGACATTAATTCATTCTCGGTACTAGGATAGGAAAACACATCATGCAAACCTTAGCACTCTGTTCAGCCTGAATCTAAACCAAGTCAACATTAAGAGAGTTAAATAGAATCATAGCCAACCCAAAGACTCAGTACTGATAAATATGTGTTTACTACAATTCATGAGATTTGTGAGTTACTTATTACTGCACCAAAGGCTGGCTAATACATTATGTTTAGAAAAGATATATATTTGAGGTGTCTTTTGTTGTAAATAATAATCATATCAATATAAACAACTGCTGTTGCTTAGTCAACATTGGTTTATTTTTTTCACAGACAAAACAATGTAATACAGGAAGTACTTACTGTTGGCATTTATTATGCGTCTCTTGGTGTTTTTAGGTTTCCTTCATTTATCTCAAGATGGCTGCTGTAGTTCTAGATATTGTGTCAGCATTCAGTGCAGAAGAACTGGAGAATAAAAAAGAATAACATTGGCCAGGCGCGGTGGTTCACGCCTGTAATCCCAGCAATTTGGGAGGCCCAGCCGGGCGGATCACGAGGTCAGGAGATCGAGATCGTCTTGGCTAAAACGGTGAAACCCCGTCTCTACTAAAAATACAAAAAATTATCCGGGCGTGGTTGCAGGCGCCTGTAGTCCCAGCTACTTGGGAGGCTGAGGCAGGAGAATGGCGTGAACCTGGGAGGCGGAGCTTGCAGTGAGCGGAGATCGCGCCACTGCACTCCAGCCTGGGCAACAGAGCGAGCCTCCATCTCAAAAAAAAAGAATTACATTTTTAAAAATTTAATTGGGAAATACAAAACTTGTCCAAAGGCAACTGGCAGACTTCTTCTAGAACTGGATCACATGAACCCTCATATCTATAATGTAGCCTAAGAAATAGGGTAACACATTGCTCTTATAGAATTAGAAAAATTCTCTTTTTTTTCCCCCCTGAGATGGAGGTTTACTCTGTCGCCCAGGCTGAAGGGCCAGTGGAACCATCTTGACTCAATTCAACCTTTGCCTCCCGGTTTCACATGATTCTCCTGCCTTAGCCACCTGAGTAGCTGGGACTACAGCCACGCGCCACAATGCCCAGCTAATTTTGGCGCTTTTAGTAGAGACAGAGTTTCACCATGTCAGCCAAGTGGTCTCAAACTCCTGACCTCAGGTGATCCGCCTTCCTTGGCCTCCCAAAGTGCTGGGATTACAAGCATGAGCCACTGTGCCCAGCCCCTAGAATTAGATGATAAATTCTGATCCATTGCTTAAGACTGGTACAATGTTGTCCCATACAAAATTTGGCTTCTAACAGTAAAAGAGAGAGGAGAAAATGGTTATGAATATTGGGAAAACACAAAAAATGATTCTTACTGTTAGTATTGTTTATTAGGCCCTTTAATGCTTGCTCTGTCTAGTCACCTTTAATGTCATTGTATGGTAATCTACATGCTTAACACTATATATATATTATTATTACTATTTTTTGAGACAGAGTCTTGCTCTGTTACCCAGGCTGGAGTGCAGTGGTGTGATCTCGTCTCACTGCAGCCTCTGCCTCCCGGGTTCAAGCGATTCTCCTGCCTCAGCCTCCAGAATAGCTGGGATTACAGGCATGCACCACCACATCCGGCTATTTTTGTTTTGTTTTGTTTTGTTTTTAATTTTTGAAGAGATGGGGGGTTTTGCCATGCTGGCCAGGCTGCTCTCAAACTTCTGGCCTCAAGGGATCCACCCACCTAGGCCTCCCAAAGTGCTAGGATTAAGACTATATATTAAAAAACATGTATTGATGTCTTAGAAAAAAATTCCCTGCATTAATAATGGGACTTGATTAACAGATGTTACACAGTTAATTGAAACAGAGTAAGCACTAAAGTTAATTGAAGCAAAGAAAATGCAGTATCAAGGTGTAGACATCTCCACTTAAGGTTCATATTTAGTGGGCAGTCATCCTAACAACACTGCTGAAGACCATAAAATTTAGTGTGTCAGATTTAGTAATAAAGTAGATAGATCATATTAAAATGCAGTAGAAGTACATAGTGTGAGAAAGTTTATGGGCCGTAGTATTTCGTCACATTCTCCTATATGATTGGATGCTGTATATTATAACGCAATCTTAAGATGTTCAAAATAAGGTTGGGGTACCGCTATAAAAACCCTGTAATGCAAAATAATTTAATCTCCCCAAGGTAAGTCTCTATATATGTTGCCTTCATGCTTTTAAAGGTTATGAGAAAAAATACCCTTTTAATACTAAGTGAAATCCAAAATACAATTAAGGACCTAGCTTTTGCATACGGGTTTAACTTTTGCCCTTTTATGTCAGCATTTTGCTCTGAAAGTATCAATGCCACACATTCTCTCAACAATGCAATCCTTTCTTGGTTTAGTTAATATCACCTTCCATAAACTTAGTAAACCTTTTGTCTTCTTTTCTAGAAAAGCTGGATTTTACTTTACTTGGAGTATAAGTCCATGAATATTTTGAAGGAACTTATTTTTAACATGCTGATCCTTCTATTAGTTTTAAGAGCATCTCATTACTTTTATGTAATTAAAATATAAGATACAGTGGTAATTAACTTGTCATCCCCCTCCTGTGGTGTTAATTGGACATATGAACAACTTCTTGCTCATTTTGGCTTTAATTTCTTCTGTGTTATTTTTTTAAAGTAAAAAAAAAATTGTAATTTTTTTGTATTAAAAATGGAAGATTGAAGATTAATGTAAGTTAAAAATATCAAATTGTATATGAATTTTACAAGTGTATTGAGTCCAAGAATGCTCTCAGTAATAGCAGTTTAATATATTTCTATTAAGAATTTAGAAATGTACATTGCAGTAAACATCAGAAAAAACAGAATCAGCTTCTTAATATACCAAGTGACTAAACAAATAAATCACAATGAATAAAGCTGAAGTATATTACCAGATCAATATGTAACATATCAATAAAATCATGGTTCAGAGGTGGCAACTGGATTAAATAAATATTTAAACTTATTAAAATCTTTGATAAAGTAAAAATAATCCTTAAAATATAAAGAAATGAAGATGAGTTTACCATGATTTTTATGAGTATAAAATGTATAAATAGACATGGTAGACATTAGGATATGATAAAGTAATATTGACAGTGATCTTAGTTTTTTAATTCACCACTTTAAAGCCAAAGAAAAATAGGTTTTTCTTTAGATGAAGGATTTTTTAAAACAGTTAACCAACTTAATAAAGGCCTCAGAAAATACAAAGTTAAGTCATTTTTGATGTGTTAAATGATGGCATAGGAAATATCAAAGTCCAATAGTCAGAAATTCATTGTACTGCTTTTTTTTTGCTTTTTTTTTTGACTCAGTAGGAAAAGCTTAACCCAAGAGTGCGCCACTGCACTCCAGCCTGGGTGACAGAGCAAGACTCCGTCTCAAAAAAAAAAAAAAAAAAAAAAAGAATAAGAATTATTGTATTTCTTCTCCTATAACTTATAGCTACTGTGGGAAGCTACTAATCTGATTTATCTAATATGCTGGTACAGTAGTCTATATGAAGATCTACTAAAAAAGTAATTTGAATATTCCTGATGTATTCAAATACATAAGACCTAATATCTTGCTTCCTAGGGTGCCGAAAATGAGTGAGGTTATTGTAGAGTAACTACTTACTAGCTCTAAGAACTTGTAGATGCATGGGAGAAATTCATGAATGTTAGAAAAGGGGCACTGGCAAAGGTGAATGTCTAGAAATTTTACATTTCTATGTTTAAGCTTTATGGCTTAGAAAATTATGATAATTAATTTTTCAAACCCTTAGAAAACTATGGGTTTCTAACTAACATTCATATGTTCAAAAAATACATTTCGGTATATTAAATGCTTTCTAAAATACAATTATAGGCTTGAGATATTAAGTAGAAATTACAGAAATCTGTCTTTATCTGGGAAGGTTTAATTCAGAGACAAGAATATATAATGAACAGAATAAAATGTGTAGTGTCAAGCATAAACTTTACTCAGAACTGAAGTTTCTGAGGCCATGATTAATGGTTAGATTTGAGGTATGAGAAGAACCAAAATGTTAAGACATACAGACACACACACATTTACATACACACATCACAAATAGCTTGCAAATGAAACCAAACAATAAGACCTATAGGCAGAAGAAAGAAAATTAGATACAATTTAGATAAGTTTGTACAAATTGAAAGACCCCACACAGGTCATTTAACTGCTATATAATTGTTTTCTCATTTGAGAAATTAGGGTGTTAGACTAGATAATTTTTAGGGTTTCTTATAGCTGTAAAATTTTACAAGTTTGTTAGAGACAACCTGCAGTTTAGAGGACAGTGTTTAAAATATCCAAATGTAATTTTTAAATACAAGGATATTTCCCTTCTCACTGACCAAATTTCCTCCCACAAACTCCACCTCAAACAAAAACTCTTTTATCAGGGAGAGGTAGATATTATCTTAGAGATCATTTTAGATCTGTTGATTTAAAATACAGTTTAAAATACAGTTGTCGTAGTAGTACTGCAATGTAGACATAAAAATAAGAAAAAATGTTTTGAAAGAAGAAACAACGGACCTTGGTGGTTGATTATACATGTGTGGAAGATAAGGTAAAAGGAGAAGAAAATTTAAATACATCTTTAATTTGTGAGCCTTGTACTTGACCAAATTATATTATCATAGATTAAATTGGGTGAGACAGATGAGGACATAGGTTTTGAATGGAAGATAACTACTTAAATTTTTAGAGATTGAATTTAAGAATATGGGCTTGAGTGTAAATATCCACTGAAAAATTTAAAGTACATGTTAGAAGCCTGATAGAGTTATCAAGGATAGGGTCTAATTTACACTACATACTAACTGAGGGTATTAGGCCTTTAAAATTTGTTTTTGTCTTATTTGTTAAAGTCAAGTAAGTACAAAATTTTGGCAAAGGGCCTGGCACATAAGTTCTAAATAATTGGCAGAATAATCCCTTCAATTTCCTTCATCAGTGTTTTATAGTTTTTATTGTAGAAATATTTTACTTCTCTTGTTAAAGTAATTCCTAGGTTTTTAATTTTATTTATAGCTAATTGGTTTCTTTTTTGGATTGTGTTCTGTTGATGGAAAGATGTTTCATGATCATGGATTAGAAGAATCAGTATTGTTAAAAAGTTCATACTACCCAAGGCAATCTATAGATTTAATGCAATCCTTATCAAATTATCAATGATATTCTTAACAGAAACAGAAAACAAAATCCTAAAATTAAATGAAACCACAAAATATAAAATAGCCACAGTTATACTGAGTTAAAAGAACAAAACTGGAAAAATCACATTTGGAAAAACTCCAAAGCATCACTCTTATCCTATTAGTATCTATAGCCATTGTGCTTCAAAATAAGACATTTTGCTTCACACTTGACATTAAAATAAATTCAAAAAATACTTTGTGTCGTAAGTACACTTTGAGTTTATATCCTGGGCCATGATAGTTTCTCTTTATATATTAGATCTTTTCTTAGTTTTGTCAAATGTGGTGACCTTCAGCTTTGTTAAGTGGGAATTCCTTAGCGTTCCACAGATTTGCCATGTTTTTCACATTCTTTCTCAAAGCGCCCTGACAACAAAACGAGACAAAAACATTATTGATATTTTTTATTTTAACATTATAGTGTAGAATATAACTAACTGATTGTTAGTGTAGAATACTGTATAGTGTAGAATATCACTAACTACAAATTACTTTTTAGTAGAGGAAAGTGTATTATATTTTCTGGTACAGTCTTGGTTTGTCACAAGTACAAAATTATAAATTGGACCAACAGGGAAAAAAAAAGAGACTATAGGAATGCATTACATAAATGTTAAGGGCAAAGATATATATACACCAAAAGTATATTCATAATTGTACACCAAAATCATTATTCATGATATTAGGTGAAGTATATGCTGTTACCTATTGTGACATTTGGTAGAGTTTTTATGATGGTTCAAATCTTAACCAATTTATTGAACTTTTAAAATGAAACCTTTGTTCATGTGGAAACTCCATCAAGGTTTCTAAATGTTACTAATACTTTTAGGCAAAATATCAAATTATTTTTATTGCTATGCCAGAAATTATAAGAATCATGTGTGCTATATAGGAATGTATTAATGAAAGTACAACAACAATTTTCAAAGAGGTTCTGAGAGATCCCTTCCCCCACTTGAGGAGAGGAGAGAGAAAAGTGGGGAGAATTTTGTCTTGCCTCTTGATACTGGCTCAGACACAATAGGGTAGGGCACCAGTCACAAAGACCTATTTCCTGGATGACACATCTAGAAACGTGATGGGCCACAAAAAAATCTAACTCCTGATTCCAGGCCTTGGCTCCTAGATGGCATTTGCAGGCTCTCACTGGGCCACAGGAGAGTCTGCTTTACTGAAGGGGGATACTCAGGCCTTGCAATATTCACCACAATCTGATGGAAGAGTCCTTGGTCCTTGAGTGTACATCTGTGATAGCCAGGCAGTATTTGCCATAGGCCTGGGGTGATGGTGGCCATTGGGAGAGATTCCTCTGCTTTAGGAGAGAAGAGGGAAGAGTGGGAAGAACTTTGTCTTGTGGCTTGGGTGCCAGGTCAGTCACAGTAGAATAGAGCACTAAGTCGATTCCTAAGATTCCCAAATCAAGGCTCTGATTCCTAGATGATATCTCTGAACCCAAGCAGGGTCTAGGGGAGATGCACTGCCCAGAAAGGAAGGAGACATACCTGGTGGAATTCACCACTTAATAGTAGAGCCCTTGGGACTTGATCGAAAGTAAATGTTAGTCAGGCAGTGACCACTGTGGACTTGGTGAAAGACCTAGTGCTGTGCTGGCTTTGGGTCTGACTCAGCACAGTCCCAGTGGTTGTGGCCACAGTGTTGCTTGTGGCACTCCTTCCCCAACTCCACACACCTACACGCACGTGCACACACACACACACACACACACACAGACAGAGAGAGAGAGACTCCATTTGTTTGGAGGAAAGTAAGGGAAATGAACAATATACTCTGCCTGGTAGTTCAGAGAATTCTCTCTCATCTTTCCTAAGACCATTAAGGTGGTACTCATTGAGTCAACAAGAGCCACAGCGTTACTGGGCTTGGAGTGCTTATTAATGCAAATACAGCTTCACTGATCATAGACTTAGATCACAACATCCAAGTCCCTTTGAATACTTGGGAATTGCTCCCAAGAAGGATGGATACAAACAAGCTTAGACTGTGAAGACTACATAAATACCTAACACTTCAATGCCCAGATATTGATAAACATTCACAAACATGAAGACACCAATGACCAATCCAGGAGAAACAGAGATATGTGACCTTTCAAACAAAATATTCAAAATAGTTGTTTTGCTGAAGCTCAATGAAATTCAAGATAACACACAGAGAGAAGATATTCAGAATTCTATCATATAAATTTAACAAAGATATTAAAACAGAAAGAATAAAGCAGAAATTTTGAAGCTATAAAATTCAATTATGTTGAAGAATGCTTCAGAGTCTCTTAAAAGGAGAACTGATCAAGCAGAAGAAAGAATTAGTGAGCTAAAAGACAGGCGATTTTAAAATACATGCCCAGAGGAGCCAAAAGAAAAGAGAATCCAAAAGAAGAAAGTGTGCCCACTGGATCTGGAAAATAGCCTCAAAAGGGCAAATGTCAGAGTTATTGGTCTTAAAGAAGATGTAGAGAGAGAAATAGAGGCAGAAAGTTTATTCAAAGGGATAATAACAGAGAACTTTCCAAACCTAGAGAAACATATCAATATTAAAGCACAAGGAGGTTACAGAACACCAAGGAGATTTAATCCAATAGGACTACTTCCAAACATTTAATAATCAACCATCCAAATGTCAAAGGCAAAGAAAGGATTCCAAAAACAGAAAGAGAAAATAAATAAATAACATACAATGATGCTCCAATATGTCTATCAGCAGACTTTTCAGTGGAAATCTTACAGACCAGGAGAGAGTGGTATGACATATTGAAGTGCTAAAGAGAAAAAAAATCTAAGGGCCGGGGATGGTGGCTCACGCCTGTAATCCCAGCAGTTTGGAAGGCCAAGGTGGGCAGATCACGAGGTCAAGAGATCGAGACCATCTTGGCCAACATGGTGAAACCCCGTCTCTACCAAAAATACAAAAATTAGCTGGGCATGGTGGGGCGCTCCTGTAATCCCAGCTACTCAGGAGGATGAGGCAGGAGAATGGCTTGTACCCAGGAGGCGGAAGTTGAAGTGAGCCGAGATTGCGCCACTGCCCTCCAGCCTGGTGACAGAGCAAGACTCCATCTCAAAAAAAAAAAAAAAAAAAAAGGAAAAAAATGTAAGAATAGTATATCCAGTGAAAATATCCATCAAACATGAAGGAGAAATTATTTCCCAGATGAACAAAAGCTGAGGGATTTCATCAACACCAACCTGTCCTAAAAGAAATGTTAAAGGGTCTTATTTATTTAGTCTGCAAGAAAAGGATGTTAATGAGCAGTAAGTAATCATCTGAAGGTACAATAGTCACTGGTAATAGTAAGTACACAGAAAAACACAGAATATTATAACACTGTAATTGGGGTGTGTCAACTACTCATATCCTTCAGTTGAAAGAATAAAAGATAAACTTATCAAAAATTATAACTAAAGCAAATGTAAAAGGCATAAAGAGTATAATAATATAAGAATAGAAACAAAAAAAGTAGGGGAGATGAAGTTGAAGCATCGAGTTTTTATTAGTTTTCTTATTGCTTGTTTATTTATGAAATCAGTGTTAAATGACAGAAGTATGAAATAATAGGTTATGAGATATTATTTGCAAGCCTCATTGTAGCCTCAAATTAAAAAAAAAATACAATGGATACACAAAAAATAAAATGGAAGAAATTAAACATATGACTGGAGAAAATTACCTTTAATAAAGGAAGACAGAAATGAAGGAAAGAAGGAAGAAAAGACCAGAAAACAAATAACAACATGGTAGGAGTAAGTCTTTACTTATCAACAGTAACATTGAATGTAAATGGACTAAACAATAAAAAGACATAGAGTAGATGAATGGATTAAAAAAAATCCTAATGATCTGTTTCCTACAAGAAACACACTTTAAAGACACATGTAGTCTGAAACTAAAGAGATGAAAAAAAAATTCCATGCCAACAGAAACCATCAAAGAACAATAGTAGCTATACTTATGTCAGACAAAATACAATTCATTACAAAAACTATAACAAGAGTAAAAGTAGGTATTATGTATGATAAAGAAGGCAATTCAGAAAGAGGATATAACAATTATAAATATATATTCACTCAACAATGGAGCACCATTGTGGCCAGCCAGGTCTCACTAATTCAGGCCTCCATTACAATAGTCCCAGTACTTACTGTGTAACTAAGTTAAACATTTAAAGCTGATTGAGCCAGTGCCCTTCTACAAAGCCTGGACTGTATAACAAAGAGCCCACGAAGAGTTTTGCCTAGGCTTTTCCTGGGCCCTGAAGCATGACAAGATAATGAAGGAATTCTTAACAGGACCCTTTTAGGATGAAACAAGTTTTATTGGGGGTATGAAGAAACTCCCCAGGCTTCCACAAATACGTTTATTGGGGTCTAAAGAAACTCCTCAAACCTTTATGATTTAGAGGAGATAAGATAAGGGTAATCACCCCAGCACCTAGACCCATTAAGATTAAGTAAATTTACTGAGCCTCCAGAAGAAGGTCTTCAAGACTCAGGCCTTAGTTACAGGTTAAAAGAAATTAATCCCTTATGTCTTTAGATGAACGCACACTTACATGTAGGCATATAGCTTAGAAGGTATATAAGCTCTGGAAAACTTTGTAATTTTGAGTTGGTCTGGTGATAATTTCCAGGCCTTCTCCCTGTAACCAGTTGCAGAAAACAAAAACTCTTCTTACTCTTTTTCTCCCCAGTTCACCTGCATCTCATTACTGGGCCACGAGAAATAGCAGCCCAGCCCTCAGTTTGGTCCAGGAACACCCAGATATACAAACAAAATATTATTAGAGCTAAAAAAGAAGATAGATGCCAATACAATAATAGCTGGAGACTTTAATACCCCACTTTCAGCACTGGACAGATTATGCAGACAGGAAATCAACAAAGAAACATTGCAATGAATTTGCACTATAGACCAAAGGGACCTAATGGATATTTACAGAACATTTCATTCCATGGCTGCAGAATAAACATTATTCTCCTCAGCACATGCATCATTCTCAATAATAGACCCTGTGTTATTCTCATTCCTCAGTTTCCATGTACTCCTTGGGAGGTTACCATAGCTGATGAAGGATGTGTGCAGAAGTCAAAACACTAAGAAAACACTGACAGGGCAGAAGGGATTCAGTGGCTACAAGATGGCTGGGCCAAACCTTATTGAATTATTTTTAGTACCTCCCTGCCATCTTGCCACATGGCCTGAATGCAACATAATATCAGAAGTGGATGGTTTTTGGTCAGAGTTCCAAAATTGGGAGACCAAGAGAACCTGAATGTAAAGGAGAGGGAGGACTTTGGGAAAGCAGGCCCACAAAGCTGTTTTTAAAATCCTGAACTTGCCTAAGACTAATTCATGGGTAAAATCTCAATTTTCTTGCCACAGTTTTTGAGAACTAACACATAGATCTTATTTTCAGGTGGAGACTGACAACTAGGCAATGATTACATGTGACAGATCATATAAACAATACAATGGCTTTGAAAACAAAATTGACGTTTGAACCACAGCCCATAGAATGTGGATAAGAACTCACAGCCTGAACCAAATATATGTCAATTGTCTGTTAAAACAAAATATTAGCCCTCTGTATAGGATGTAAAGAAGACCTAAAGTCTCAGAATATAATATTCAAAATCTCCAGGCTACAATTTAAAATTACTCAGGCTATCAATAAGTGCAAACAATTAAAAGACACCAATAAAGAGATGACACAGATGTTAGAATTACCAGTAAAAGTATGTTATCAAAAAATTGTTCAAACTTTTGAATGAGAAATTATGATGATCTTGAAACAAAGATTACAATAAAAATATCACCAGGAAATGAAATACATTTAAAGAACCAAGTGCCATCGGGGGTCTTTCCTCTGGCAAGGGTATCTCAAGCTTGTCAGAAGCTACCCTTTCCAGGTAGTTATTAAAACTGGGCCTCTCCTCCACTTTGGACAAAAAAGTGTGCTTCCTTAGGTGATTGCTTTTTGTATTGGAATTTATCTACTTGCCCTCCCACCTGCTCAGTGTCTCTGGGCATGGATAAGGAGTGTCAGAAATTCCTCTTTTTGTCACATGCTTTTGCTTTTAATATTTTTTTCTTCTAACGTTCTTTAGTTAAACTATAAGAAATATCAATATAGATTTCTTTATACTATTCCAGTGTAGGATATTTGGACTCCCTAAATTTGAGGATTTGTGTATTTATTCAATCAGCAGTACAAATTACTCAGGCTGTGTCTATTTAAAAACTCACTAATTTGTCAAAGTTGTGTGGCCTCCCTTGCTGTAACATTTAGTCAACATCTGAAGTCATTCTGTACTTAAATACCTCATTTGCCAAAGTTGTGGGACCCCTCTTGCTGTAATGTATATTCAACATTTGTTGAATTTTTCATCCTGTACTTATTTCTTAATTGTTCTTGTTACAATCATCCCTCCCCTGTTTGTGATTTAGCTTTCTGTGGTGTTTCAGTTACCCTCAGACAAGCACAGTTCAAAAATAGGTGAGAACAATACAATTATATATACACATATAATATATTAATTACATATAAATTATTATATATATTGTATGTAAGGAGAGACCACATTCACATTATTTTTATTTAGTATATTTTTATAACTATTATATTTTTTATTTTTTCTTGTTTTTCTCTTATGGTGACTTGTAAATTGAACTTTATCATAGGTATTCATGTATTAAAAAACATAGTATATACAGTGTTCAGTACTATCTGTGGTTTTGTGCATTTACTGGGGGTCTTGGAATGTATTCCCCACAGATAAGAGTAAAACTACTGTAAATATTTATTTTTGTTTGTGTACTGCACACTGTAAAAATTATTAAGCTCTTAATTCTGGTTTCTTATGTATGCATTTATGTTTAATCGTTTGTCAAATCATTAGTTTCAATGTACTTTTTATTACAAATGATTCTATTTTTTCTTTTGGTCAAATTAGGCTTTTTTAAAGTAATGCTTTTTTCTTTTAGTAGGATTTTCAATCTACCTTTTATGGCCATGTTTGAATCAGGTGTTGAGCAGCTTTCATGGACTATTTCTTTCTGTTGCAAGTTTAGGAGCCTAAGTGTTGCTTTTGTCTTGAATTCTTGAATAGCCCAAGTTTTTGTTGTTGTTGTTGTTGTTGTTTAGAACAGGTTCATGGTGTCTTTGGCAATATATTTATCTCTAAATATAGTGGGCTTTATGTCTACTTTCTTCTTATCAATTTCATGTACCAGAAACTTCATCCAAAATTTTTTTATTGAAATAAATTTCATGTTCAATCTGTTTTTTTGGCTTGGGCTGCATGCCCCTCTGTCTCTCGCATTATTGTTAACAACTATAAATCCATTAGAAATAATACGTGGAAAGGCCACATTTTTAATTTGATCTTTATGGCAGAGATGATTTTTTTTTTATTGAGTAAACTTACTATTCCATTGTCCCTTAAAATCTTCAGTCTTATCTTTTACTATGTAGGGCCTCAAAGCAATGGGCTTTCCTATTTCTATGGAGACGCTGATCTCTGAGTTCTGTCTACTAGTCCTGTCAGGACACTTGAAAATAAGCTAAATCTTATATGAGCTCATTTATTTCTAAGAATACTTTGCAAAATGCATATACTAGCCAAAGCACAGCAATTCTTCTCACTCACTTCCCATAGTGCTACAGACTCTCTAGGCACAAGATGTGCATTACAAAACATTGTAAGCAACAGTTTTACAAAATATATTACACTCCATAATTTAAAATTTTCAAACTTGAATATTAGTTTCCTCACTCCACAACTGAGCCAGTCCCAAGTATTATTTTTTCCATAAGAACAGCTTACTTTTATGTATTTTGCTTGATAAGTATTGTGCATCTTGTAGAATACACAGTAAGCAATAATCATTTTTAAATGTTGATAAATTTGACTGCAAGAAAATTAAGAAATTCATCAAAATGTCTACTAAAGGTGAAAACACAAATTACTATCTTTGAGAAGACATTGAAACACAAAGATTAGAGAAAGAGTCACAATCCGCAATCTGCATAATCAAGAAATCCAAAATAAACAATTGAATAGAAAATGGGAGAAGAAACCTTGTTTTATTATGTCACTTTCCTCTCATATCCCTTTGTCGTTTTTTGTGCATACATTTGCTGGTATTCCTTCATTCCTAAGAGCCAACATATGAGACTTTTTATAGAGGAAGTTTGAATAGTTTGAATAGTTTGGTTTAGCTTATCTAAATGGGAAGTAGAAATTAACTGGGAAACTGCATTGTTCCAGCAGAACCCCTTAACGGAGTAATTGATTGTGGTGGCATGAATGTTCATTGCTCTCTTCAGCATCCCACAGCTATACTGATAATTGTGCCACAGAAACACTTCCTCATAAAATACCACTGTGTGAATCCTCTCTAGTTCAGGGAGCTAAAATCTATGATCGACACAAACTCTCACTTTAAATAGAGAACACAAGCAGCAAACCAACATATGAAATGAAACAAAATTTTAGTGGTCAGGGAAATAAAAATTAAGTTTATAATTAGATTCGATTTTATATCATTTAAATTGGTAAAATGAAGATGTCTGAAATCACCAAGGGAAACTGTTCATTCGAAGTTATTACAATACACTTTAAATGAGGATATGAACCAATGAGAAATCTATAAATCACCCTCAGGTGTATAAATTGGTACCAAGACTTTCGTAAATTATTTGACATTGTTTGTTTGTGCACATTTCATGACCCAAAAATTCAATTCCTAGATATATGACCTGGAATCTTGCCACTCAAAATGTGGATTACACCAAAAGCATTAGCATTGCGTAAGATGTTGTTAAAATGTGGAATTTTAGTTGACACCTCAGATCTACTGCAACAACATCTGCATTTTAACAAAATCATTTGGTAATTCATATATAAGCTACATTGTAAGAGTACTGTCCTAGTACTCAGGGAATATTTACGTCCTTACCTACATTTGCTAGTCTGGGTCAGGTGACTAGTTATGGCCAATGGGCTGAGAGTATAAATGGCATGTGTCACTTCTGGGAACCACAGGTTTAAGACCAGGTACATGACACTCCAGATCTTTCTTCCCATGCAGTGGTGGCTTGGAAACCATGTTTACTGTATGGGGTATCTGAATGATGGGTCAGCCTGAAACACTGATTTGTCCTTGGAGGCCTCCAGACTTAGAGTAGATGTTGCCTTAAATTTTATATTGACCCACACAAAGTTCAGGTTTTGTAATAATTTATGTTTTCTCTTTTTCTTCTGTAAAATAAGAAACACTTGAAACTTTCGAGATGTAAGCTTGCAGCAAGAAAATTTTGTATGATTGATTCATACCGCCTTTCCTGAAATATTTCCACAAAATACGTATATTCATGAAATAAAAGCAAGTAGTAGACAACATTGACATTTTCATGAAAAATTGCCTAGATACAGAGGGTAAACTTGCACAACTGTTGTAATTCTTTATCACAACAAAACAGAGACAATAAACTGTCAGCAAAACTGTAGTATAAATCCAACACAACTGAACTGCATTTCTCTTAATCTACTCCTCTGAGCTATGTATTAACCGTTGACAATCTTTCATAATTTTATGTTTATAAGGCTTAACTGTGACACTACTATCTGCTTATATTGAGAAATTGTTCATTCAAAGTTATTAGAATACACTTTAAATATTATATACAATTCCGATGTCTCCTTATTGAATGGAAATACTATTTAAAGGCATAGTAAATTACAGTTTTTTCCCTTTTGCCATTAGTTGACAGAACACATGCAAGTATTTTCTAATTATTTTTGTGTAATGTAAAATAAATAATTAATCTAACTCATGACCCATAATGTATAGTCTTCTATTCAAATAATTGCACAATTTTGAAAGTTCTGAATGATTATTATAATTTTTAATTCAAATGTTTACAAACTTAACACAAAAATTATCATTCAATGTACAAACAAAATCAGGCAGATTTAATCTGATATCTAAACTATGGTAAAGTTATGATTGGAGAGAAAAACTCAAGCCTCCCAAAGCCACTGCTTTTTATCTGGATTAAAGCTGGGGTTTGAGAATCCTTGTTTCCTAAGAAACAGTTAACAGAAATTATTTTTTCAAATTCCCCTGTAAGTACTAAGAAGTTTATATACCCAAAGTTATTTAAATGATATTTTTTTCAAAATTTATTAGAAGCTTATTTTTTCTTCACGTGCACCATGGGAATTTTAAAATTTGGTATAGAGATGTCTGTGTGCTTACTTATGGCTAACAATGTTTAGTAGTAAAATTATGGGTAGTGTTTTGGATATTCTGGACTGGCAAATAATGTCCTAGATATCACTTTCTTTTTCCTAGATGACACACTATCTGGATTGTATCTCTTCTTGATTCCTCACAGAAGTCAGCTAATTTGGAAACCTAAGACAGGATTTTTCAGAAGAGAAGAGGGAGAAGAATAAAAATGGAGAAGAAAAGAAGAGGAACTATACATAAATAGATGATGGTTGTAACCTGAAGACTCATAGGTAGGTAGATAGATAGATAGATAGATAGATAGATAGATAGATAGATAGATAGATATAACCTAAGCATTACCTCCCATTCCATAGTTAAAAATGGATCATCAACATGATTCAATATATTTCCCTGGATATTGCCCCACATGCTAATGAAAGACCACACCACTCTGAAAAGTCCCTCTACAAATATGTCTAGGCATTTCCAGGGAGTAGTTTACATTTGCTTATGTAAAGTGTAATTTACTACCATGACATATGTTTTGGGCAATACCGTCTCTTTTGGATCCAACTGCCAATGTAGTTGCAATTGACTACTACACATTTTCTGTTTTTGCTGATATTCTTTATGGTTACTACTATACTTGCTGTGTAGCAACAGGAATGCCCATGCTAAATTCAGTTACTAACACTAATTTACTGAAACCCTGATGAAGCTAAAACCTTACAGTGTTCTGGGGTGAAATGAGGAACAAAGTCTCTCTACCATACATGCGTTACTGTCTGCTAGGGAGTCCCAAAGCAGTAAAACTCTCTGTGGACTTAATAATAAAATAAAACCCCTACTATATTATAGGACTAATTTTACTCAGCGTTAGTATTATCAATATAAACACATTTTTAAAGACATTGCTCAATATTTCTAATGTCATTCTAATAGTAGTCAAGTAGTTCTTGAACATTAGTGACTCAAAAGTCTGCTTATTTAGCAACTACTGATGAATATAAAAGATTTATTTGGGGATTAAAAGGACCAAAATTTAATTCTTTTTTATAAGCTAGTTTGTTTTATTTTTTCAACCTGGAAGTTTTCTGCTAACCTTATAAAGTAAAGACAGGACTTTATTTCCTTTTTTCTTCTTTAAGAGAGTATAAAAATATCATTAATCACGTAGCAAGTTTACTATTATTTCCCATCTAGCTAAGAAATCACTATAAGAAGATGAGAGAATAATGGGAAAGAAAATGATGTATGCTTATGCCACATTCATATTCCACCTCTCCATATGTTATTTTTCATCCACTTTAGATAAAAATAACTCTTTATTGTTAATTCTACATTGATACTCAACCCAATATAAATCCTTCTGGAATGCAATACTTTAGTTTTCTTTGTTGTATTTTTATTCAGAACTTAATATCTCAAAGGATGACAGCCCTGGCTTAGCATTAACAAATTTGCAATGAGTATTTTATTCTTAAAACCAGAATTGTGTTTTTTTCTAAGCTACTTTTTAATATATTTCTCTGATCTGCTTTTCTTTAATAGGGATCATTATGGGATATTGAAATAGTAATTAATTTCATTTATTCTTAAAATGTCTGCCCCTCTGAAGCCCAGTAGGTGCTTTCCTTGTATTCTTCTAAGAGTGGCTTGCAAGCAGATAGAGGAAGTGGAGAGTTTGTTGGCCAAGCCCTCAATTCACTGTATGCTTCTTAACAATAGCTTTGGACTAGCACCAACTCATTCTCACTTCCTTTTTCCTAAAAAGTGTTGACTCTACTTAGGTAGGTCTAAATAAGATACTAAAATCTTAATTAACCCTGGGCAGTAAATGGCAACGAATGAGCAATAATTTTGGAAGCTATACACACGAGGAAAGATTTTAACTTGGAGATAGTATCACAGAAATGATGCAAAGATGGACATGTATGAAGACATAGAGATGCTAATAGTTGTGTAAGATTTCACAAGGTATAAACTGAGATTTGTGCCAAAGTCACAAATATAAATTTCACTTGGAGACTTCTACATCCTAGAAAAAGTAAACAATACAGTAGACAGCAATTGGAATTCATATGGTACATTTATAACTGCTCTTTAGTGACCACCAAGCAGCAAGTGTCCTCTATCAATGTTACTGTAAGTAAGCCTAATATCATCAGATACATATTCATCCAAAGAATTACATAGGTCTAACTATGCATGGAATGAACCAAGGAATAATGATAGTTAGTGATGCTTCATATGAGAGGTTTATAGTGCCTACTTTAACCAATGCTTTCTATGATGTACTGTACTTAGCCAAGTTCTCCACGACACTACCTCCTGAGGCACCAATAAGATTCTTATACACTCCAAGGAGAATTAGAAGTAAATGGCGTTGGAGCAGGTTAGGATTTAGAGTTTTGGTGTACATTTAAGCATGGAGCTTTCCTTATGAAACAAAGGGAAAACTGTGATATCAAAGCTGTATTAATTGCTGGGAGTTTATTGTATTTTGCAAACGCCCACATCTTTTCCTTCATCAACAATAACAAAATATTTCACCTAATACATGGTGTCCATTTGATAATTTTTTTTTTTTTTTTTTTTTTGAGACGGAGTTTCGCTCTGTCGCCCAGGCTGGAGTGCAGTGGCGCTATTTTGACTCACTGCAAGCTCCTCCTCCCGGGTTCACGCCATTCTCCTGCCTCAGCCTCCCGTGTAGCTGGGACTACAGGCGCGCGCCACCATGCCTGGCTAATTTTTTGTATTGTTAGTAGAGACGGGGTTTCACCGTGTTAGCCAGGATGGTCTCGATCTCCTGACCTCGTGATCCGCCCATCTCGGCCTCCCAAAGTGCTGGGATTACAGGCGTGAGCCACCGCACCCGGCCCCATTTGATAAATTTTTAAGTCAATCACATTTTTTATCCAGAAGGTTAAAAAAAATAGATCAAGATGAAGAAACTCTCCCATAAGAGAATGTGCATGGTGGGATAACATGATTTGCTGTGGTAACAACAAAAAAAGGCATTTAAGGGAACAGGTTGGAGCAAAGTATGATAGGTATGGATTAGACAAGGGTTTTTTTAGGGGAAAGGAATTGAGAGGATTCAGTGAGATATATGATGCCATAAAATAGGAAGATACAATTGCATTTTATGAGTGACGGTGGACCATATATTTATAATCTCCTAAATATTTAAAAAGCCATAAACAATGTTAGCAACTTATGTGGGGGTTTTGCTTTAAAAATTGTTCTAGTAATGAAGTAATTGTTTAATAAATATCACCCATTTGTCATAGGTTTAATATATATTTGTAGTATTGTTTGATTAAATTTTATCTTTCTCACTGAACTGAAAACCCTGTGAGGATTATAACCACTTTGCCCACTACTGCATCTACTATCAATACAATAATTCTTATCACATGTTAGATGCTCAAAAAATATTTTAAATGCATGAAAATAATATTTATTTGATCTATATAACTATGAACATCAATTAGTTCAATAAAATATAAAAAATTCTAAAGAGATTAGAATAAGATTACTATATTTAAGTCTAGTGCTCAATTTTACAATTTAGAAACCATATTTTGTTTTTGTAATTACCCTTCATTAAAGAGTTCTGTCAAACTATTCATTTACAAGGTTCAGCTTGAAAGCCATGCAAAAATCAGAATAATTCAAAGGTGACTTTTTATTATAATAAAATAATGAATATTTTAGATTTTTGTACTAGCTATTCCTCCACAGGAGAGGAGTTTGATTTTTTCTTTGAATTTCTATATTAGAAAATGACAGAATATCAATGAAAATGCCTAAATGTTCTGTAAATAATTTTTCAAACACTATGCTTTTGTTAATAAAAATGAAAGAATATTTACTGCAAGTTTTGACCTATACATAGAATATTCAAGCAATCTAAATACAATTATTATTCCAAATATTTTGATAGAAAGAGCAACAACAATACATCCAGGTTAAACCATTTTCTAAAAAAAATATGCTTTGCAACTGCACCAAAATTTTTATTAAAGTATTTGTTGAACAAATACTATGTGACTAACACTCTGATTACATATATGTTTATATACATAATATATAGTATTATATAGATAAAATTTGTTTCCATATACTTGTTCATTCCATGAGCCTTCACTTTTCAGAAATTTGAAATAGTGATATCCATTGCTTTTGGGAAGCTGTCACAGAAGATTCAGATTTGTAAAGACATTACATTTTTATATTTCTGTTTTTAAAATGTCAAAGTTTCCATTTCTTTTCCAAGTATAAACCAAGAAGACTTGATAAAATATATAATCAAGCAGAATCACTTCTCTGCTGCAATTCCTCCCTTTCACAAATCTACGAAGATCCTCTGAGAAGAGCAGGAAGAAGAAAAAGTTAGAAAATAAACAAGGGAAATATATATAATGAGATCTCTGAGAATGGGCATCTATGTCTTGTTCCCACCACGGAATAGTCTCCTAAGTGAAGAATAGCCATAACGAAATTTAGAAATATGACAACAGAGACTAAAGGCACCCTCATTATATCTGTTTACCCTGAGAAGTAGCAAGTATTACAATGTTTAACAAATCACTGGATGCTAGAAAATAAAGACAATTGTATGTGGTGCTCCGGAAGTTAGAATGGAAGCAAAAATATAAAGGAGAAAAATATACGTGACCTAAAAGGACAGGAGTAGAAATTCTAAACTGAATATAAATGCACAAGAGAACAGTATTCAGCCACCAGGAATACTGGTGGGTCAAAACAGTAGTGAAGGTGAACCACAAAATTTAAATTGTATTGTATGGACATCCAAGTTACATGACATATATGCTTGTGAGTGTTTGTATGTGTGTTGTGTGTGTACATATGAATGTGTGTGTACATATGAATGTGCGTGTATGTGTGTTGGCCATCAAAAGAGGACTATCTGAAAACATGAGATATGTCCTCGTGTCCGTGAAGCTAAAGGATCAGAGCACTTTAATAAGAGTGAAGTTTTTGAAAGTGACAAGTGTTCCAGAGGCAAAAAGGAGAGGAAAGTTGACTTTCAAAAATGGCATTTTAGTAAAATAGTAAAATAGAAGTCTCATTCTGCGAGAAGTAGAATATGTGTGAGGAAATGGAAATAGCATAAGAAGGTGAGTCATATGAATATTTAGCAGTAAAAAAGAAAAAGAGATGATTGCTTAACACTAGATTCAGGGCCCTGCAGACCTTCCATCCTTCATGGCAGAGGCTTGTCAGAGGACCAAACAACTTTGATTCGCAGAATTATTTTAGTAGTGAAAGGGTGAGTTTTCCCAAAAATATTTTTTAGAATAATTGTAAGGCATCAGAATCCTGTGAACCCACAATATCTGAGACAGGTCCAAGTCAATTTGGAAAGTTTATTTTGCCAAAGTTAAGGATTCATGCCCATGACACAGCCTCAGGAAGTTCTGATGACATGTGCCCAGGGTAGTCGGGGCACAACTTGATTTTACACATTTTAGAGAGATATGAGACATCTATCAATATATGTAAGATAAACATTGGTTTGGTCTGGAAAGGCAGGACAACTGGAAGCAAATGTGGGACACCTTGAAGTTGGGAGGGGGATTTCAGATTAGAGTTTATAATTAGCTTTTCCAAGAAGGCATTCAGATATGCATTTATCCCAATGAGCAGAGGGATGACTGAATAAAATGGGAGGCAGGTTTGCCCTAAGCAGTTCCCAGCTTGACTTTTCCTGTTAGCTCAGTGATTTTGGGGTCTCAAGATTTGTTTTCCTTTCACAATCCTCTACAATTTCTTTTCATTAAGTAAAAGCCAATACAGATGCCAGGATTCATTTCACATAAAATAATTTACTCTAACAAAACAAGGTCAGGACCAATTATGTCCTCGAGCATTATTAAGAAAAAAATAATTTAAACACAAAATGGTTTTAATCTCTTCAAGCTGTGCAGGGATATTGCTATGGAATTCTTTGGTCAATTACGCTTATCTGTTTCAAAGAACTTCTTGATTTCTGCCTTAATTTAATTATTTACCCCAAACTCATTCAGGAGCAAGTTATTCCATTTCCATGTAATTGTATGGTTTTGAGTAAATTTCTTAGTCTTGCTTTCTGATTTGATTGTGCTGTGTTCTGAGAGACTAATGGCTATTATTTCAGTTCTTTTGCATTTGCTGAGGAGTATTTCACTTCTGATTATGTGGTTGATTTTAGAATATATGCCATGTGGCAATGAGAAAAATGTATATTTTGTTGTTTGGTGGTGAAGAGTTCTGTAGATATCAATCAGGTTCACATGTTCTACTGCGAATTCAGGTCCTGAATATACTTGTTAAATTTCTGTCTTGATAATCTGTCTAATATCTCCAGTGGGGTGTTAAAGTGTCCCACTATTATTGTGTGGAAGTCTGTGTTTCTTTGAAGGTCTCTAATAACTTGCTTTATGAATCTGGATGCTTCTCTGTTGGGTGCATATATATTTGAGACAGTTAGTTTTTTTTGTTGTTGTTGTTAAATTGAACTCGATGCCATTATGCCATGCCTTTATTTGCCTTTTAAAATCTTTGTTCATTTAAAGTCTGTTTTGTCAGAAAGTAGGATTGCAACCCCTGCTTTTTTTGTATTCCATTTGCTTGGAAGATTTTTCTCCTTCCTTTCATTTTGAGCCTATGTGTGTCATTGCATTTGAAATGGGTCTCTTGAAGACAGGATAACAATGGCTGTTGGTTCTTTATCCAGCTTGCCACTCTGTGTCTTTTCATTGGGGCATTTATCCCATTTATATTTAAAGTTACTATTGATAGGTGTGGATTTGATTCTGTCATTATGATGTTTGCTGGTTCTTGTGCCGACTTGTTTATGTGGTTGCTTTATAATGTCACTGTGGTCTGTGTACTTCAGTGTGTTTTTGTAGTGGCTGGTAATGGTCTTTTTTCCCCCCATATTTATTGCTTCCTTCAGGAACTCTTTTAAGGCAGGTCTGGTGAGACCAAAGATATAACATACCAGAATCTCTGGGACACAGCTAAGGCAGTGTTAAGAGAGAAATTTATAACACTAAATGCCCACATCAAAAAGAAAGAACTCATATTAACAATATAACATCACAACTAAAGAACTTGAGAACCAATAGCAAACAAATTTCAAAGGTAGTAGAAGATGAAAAATAACTAAAATTAGAGCTGAAATGAAGAAGATTGAGACACAAAAAACCATTCAAAGATCAACAAATCTAGGATCTCGGTTTTTGAAAAACCTAATAAAATAGATAGGCCACTAGCTAGACCAATAAAGAAGAAAAGAGAAAATTGAATTGAATCCCTGAAGAGACTAATAATGAGCTCTGTAATTGAGGCAATAAAATATAACCTATCAACCAATAAAAGCCCAGGACCAGATGGATTCACAGATGAATTATGAAAGATATACAAAGAAGAGCTGGTACCAGTCCTACTGAAACTATAGCAAAAAATTGATGAGACAGGACTCCTCCTTTACTCATTCTATGAGGCCAGCATCATCGGGATACCAAAACCTGGCAGAGATACAACCAAAAAGAAAACACTTCAGGTGAATATCTTTGATAAACATAAATATAAAAATTCTTAACAAAATACCGGCAAACCAAATTCAGCAGCACATCAGAGAGCTTATCCACCATGATCAAGTAGGCTTTATTCCTGGGAAGCAAAGTTGTTTTGACATAGGCAAATCAATAAATGTGATTCATCACATAAACAGAACTAAATACAAAAACCACGTGATTACTTCAATAGATGCAGAAAAGTCTTTTAATAAACTTCAACATTCATGTGAAAAATTCTCAATAAACTAGGTATTGAAGAAACATACCTCAAAATAGTAACTGCCATGTATGACAAACCCACAGCCAATATTCATACATGAGCAAGAGCTGAAAGAATCCCCTTGAAAACTGGAATGAGACAAGGATACCCTCTCTCTCCACTCCTATTCAGCATAGCACTAAAAGTCCTGGCCAGGGCAAGCAGGCAAGAGAAAGAAAGGGCATTCAAACAGGAGGAGAGGAAGGCAAACTACCTATGTTGGCAAATGACATCATCCTATATTTAGAAAACCCCATAATCTCAGCATAAAAGCGTCTCAAGCTGATAAACAACTTCAGAAAAGTCTCAGGAAACAAAAGCACTGCCCAAAAGTTACTAGCATTCTTATACATCAACAAAGTCCAGCCAAGAGTCAAATCAGGAATATACTCCTATTCACAATTGTCACAAAAATAATAAAATACCTAGGAATACAACTAAGTGAAACATCTCTACAAGGAGAACTGCAAACCACTGCTTAAAGAAATCAGAGAGGACACAAACAAATGGAAAAACATTCCAAGTTCATGGAGAAGAAGAATCAATATCATGAAAATAGCTACAATGTGAAAAGCAATTTTTAGATTCAATGCTATTGCTATTAAAATACCATTGAGATTCTTCACATAATGAGAAAAGCTATTTAAAAATTCATATAAAACCAAGAAAGAGACTGAATAGCCAAGGCAATCCCAAACAAGAATAACAAACCTGGAGACATCACACTACCCAACTTCTAATTATACTATAGGGCTACAGTAACCAAAACAGCATTGTACTCATACAAAAACTGACATATAGATCAATGGAACAGAATAGGAAACCCAGAAATAAGACTTCACACATACAACTATGTGATCTTGGACAAACCTGACAAAAACAACAATGGAGAAAGGACTCCCCATTCAATAAATGATGCTGGGATAACTGGCAAGCCGTATACAGAAAATTGAAACTGAACCCCTTCTCATATGGTTTGGCTCTGTACCCCTATCCAAATCTCATGTTGAATTGTAACCCCAGTGTTGGAGGTGGGGCCTGATGGGAGGTTATTGGATCATGGGGGTAGTTTCTAATGTTTTAGCACCATCTACTCAGTGCTGTCTCATGATAGAGTTCTCATGAGATCTGGTTGTTTAAAAGTGTGTAGTACCTCCCCCTTTTCTGTCTTTCTCCTGATGCCACCATTTAGAATGTGCTTGCTTCCCCTTTCCCTTGTGCCATGATTTTAAGTTTTCTGAGGCCTCCCCAGAAGCTGAAGTCTGTACAGCCTGCAAAAACATAAGCCAATTAAAAGTACGTTTTCTTTTTAAATTATCCAGTCTCAGGTATGTCTTTATACCAGTGCGAGAAGGGACTAATACACCTTCCGTACACCATATTAAAAAATTAACCAAGATGGAACAAAGACTTAAATTTTCAACCCCAAACTACAAAAACCCTGTAAGACAATCTAGGCAATACCATTCAGGATGTAGGCACGGGAAAATATTTCATGACAAAGATGAAAAAAGCAATTGCAACAAGAGCAAAAATTGACAAATGATATCTAATTAAGCTGAAGAGCTTCTGCACAGTAAAAACAAAACAAAACAAAACAACAACAACAAAAAAACCATCAACAGAGTAGACAGACAACCTACACAATGGGAAAAAGTTTTTGCAAACCGTGCATCTGACAAAGGGCTGATATCCAGCATCTACAAGGAACATAAATAAATGAACAAGAAAAACAAAAACATTAAAAAGTGGACAAAGAACATGAGTAGACACTTTCCAAAAGAAGACATACATGCAGCCAACAATCATATTTAAAAAGCTCAACATCATTGATCATTAGAGAAATGAAAATCAAAACCACAATGAGATACCATCTCACTCCAGGCAGAATGCCTATTATTAAAAAGTCAAAAAAAGAAAAAAAGACAGATGCTGGCGAAGTTGTGGAGGAAAAGAAACACTTATACACTGTTGATGGGAATGTAAATTAATTCAAACATTGTGGAAGACAGTGTGGCATTTCCTCCAAGTCCTAAAGACAGATACACCATTTGACCCAGCATTCCCATTACTGTCTATATACCCAAAGGA